>NC_000008.11:43784345-43983744 GCF_000001405.40 Homo sapiens | reverse complement strand
AATCTTCAAAAAGAGTGTTCCAGAAGTACTGCATGAAACGAAAGCTTCGAGTCCGTTAGTTGAGGACACGCATCACAAATAAGTTTCTCAGAATGCTTCTGTCTTGTTTTCATTGGAACATATTTCCCTTTTCACCATAGTTCAGAAAGCGCTCCAAATGTCCACTTCCAGATACTCCAAAAAGAGTGTTTCCAACCTGCTCTATGAATGGGAATGTTCCACTCTGTGACTTGAATGGAAATATGGCAAAGTATTTTCTGAGTATGCTGCTGTGTACGTTTTATATTGCATCCCGTTTCCAACGAAATCCTCAAAGCGATCCAAATATCCACTTGCAGATTCCAAAAAAAGAGTGTTTCAAACTGCTCTGTCAGTACAAAGGTTCAACACTGTTAGTTGATTAGAGGCATCATAAACAAGTTCCTGAGATAGCTTCTATGTCGCTTTTATGGGAAGATATTTCCTTTTACACCATAGGCCTGAAAGCGCTCCAAATGTCCACTTCCAGATACTACAAAATGAGTGTTTCCAACCTGCTCTATGAAACGGAAGGTTCAACTTTGTGACTTGATTGCAAACATCACGAAGGTGTTTCTGAGGATGTTTCTGTCTAGATTTTCTTTGAAGACATTACCGTTTCCAACGAAATCCTCAAAGCTAGCCAAATATCCACCTGCAGATCCTACAAAAAGAGTGTTTCAAAAGTGCTCTGTCCAAACAAAGGTTCAATTCTGACAGTTGAGTGCACACATCACAAACGTGATTCTGCGAATGCTTCTGTCTAGTTTTTGTCGGAAGATATTTCCTTTTTCAGCATAGGCCCCAAGGAGCTCAAAATGTCCACTGCCAGATAGTACGAGAAGATTGTTTCAAACCTGCTCTGAGAAAGGGGAATGTTCAACTCTGTGACTTGAATGTACACATCCCTAAGATGTTTCTTAGAATGCTTCTGGCTAGATTTTATTTGAAGATATTCCCGTTTCCAACGAAATCCTCAAAGCTTTCCAAATATACACTTCCAGATTCTATAAAAAGAATGTTTCAAAACAGTTCTGTCCAAAGAAAGGTTCAACTCTGTTAGTGGAGAACACACATCACAATCCAGGTTCTGAGAATGCTTCTGTCTAAATTTTCTATGAAGACATTCCCGTTTCCAACGAAATCCTCACAGCTATCCAAATATCCACTTGCAGATTCTACAAAAAAGGTGGTTCAAAACTGCTGTATCAAAAGAATGGATCAACACTGTTAGTTGAGTACCCACATCACAAACGTGATTCTCAGAATGCTTCTGTCTAGTTTCTGTAGGTAGATATTTCCTTTTTCAGCATAGGCCTGAAAGCGCTCCAAATGCCCGCTTCCAGACACTATAAAAAGGGGGTTTCAAACCTACTCTATGAAAGGGAATGTTCAACTCTGAGAGCTGGATGCAAACATCACAAAGAAGTTTCTGAGAATGCTGCTGTCTACTTTTGATATATAATCCCGTTTCCAACGAAATCCTCAAATCTAGCCAAATATCCACTTGCAGATTCCAAAAGAAGAGTGTCTCAAAACTGCTCTATCAATAGAAATGTTCAGCACAGTTAGTTGAGTAGATACAGCATAAACATGTTTCTGAGATTACTTCTATCTCGCATTCATGGGAAGATATTTCCTTTTTCCAGATAGGCTACAAAGCCCTCCAAATGTCCACTTCGAGATACTACAAATAGAGTGCTGCACAACTGCTCTATGTGAGGGGATGTTCAATTCTGTGACTTGAATGCAGACACCACATAGAAGTTTCTGAGAATGCTGCTGTCTAATTTTTATATGTAAGCCCGTTTCCAACGAAATCCTCAAAGCTAACCAAATATCCGCATGCAGAATCTTCAAAAAGAGTGTTCCAGAAGTACTGCATGAAACCAAAGCTTCGAGTCCGTTAGTTGAGGACACGCATCACAAATAAGTTTCTCAGAATGCTTCTGTCTTGTTTTCATTGGAACATATTTCCCTTTTCACCATAGTTCAGAAAGCGCTCCAAATGTCCACTTCCAGATACTCCAAAAAGAGTGTTTCAAACCTGCTCTATGAATGGGAATGTTCCACTCTGTGACTTGAATGGAAATATGGCAAAATATTTTCTGAGTATGCTGCTGTGTACGTTTTATATTGCATCCCGTTTCCAACGAAATCCTCAAAGCGATCCAAATATCCACTTGCAGATTCCAAAAAAAGAGTGTTTCAAACTGCTCTGTCAGTACAAAGGTTCAACACTGTTAGTTGATTGGAGGCATCATAAACAAGTTCCTGAGATAGCTTCTATGTCGCTTTTATGGGAAGATATTTCCTTTTACACCATAGGCCTGAAAGCGCTCCAAATGTCCACTTCCAGATACTACAAAATGAGTGTTTCCAACCTGCTCTATGAAACGGAAGGTTCAACTCTGTGACTTGATTGCAAACATCACGAAGGTGTTTCTGAGGATGTTTCTGTCTAGATTTTCTTTGAAGACATTACCGTTTCCAACGAAATCCTCAAAGCTAGCCAAATATCCACCTGCAGATCCTACAAAAAGAGTGTTTCAAAAGTGCTCTGTCCAAACAAAGGTTCAATTCTGACAGTTGAGTGCACACATCACAAACGTGATTCTGCGAATGCTTCTGTCTAGTTTTTGTCGGAAGATATTTCCTTTATCAGCATAGGCCCCAAGGAGCTCAAAATGTCCACTGCCAGATAGTACGAGAAGATTGTTTCAAACCTGCTCTGAGAAAGGGGAATGTTCAACTCTGTGACTTGAATGTAAACATCCCTAAGATGTTTCTTAGAATGCTTCTGGCTAGATTTTATTTGAAGATATTCCCGTTTCCAACGAAATCCTCAAAGCTTTCCAAATATCCACTTCCAGATTCTATAAAAAGAATGTTTCAAAACAGTTCTGTCGAAAGAAAGGTTCAACTCTGTTAGTGGAGAACACACATCACAATCCAGGTTCTGAGAATGCTTCTGTCTAAATTTTCTATGAAGAAATTCCCGTTCCCAACGAATCCTCACAGCTATCCAAATATCCATTGCAGATTCTACAAAAAGGGTGGTTCAAAACTGCTGTATCAAAAGAATGGATCAACACTGTTAGTTGAGTACCCACATCACAAACGTGATTCTCAGAATGCTTCTGTCTAGTTTCTGTAGGTAGATATTTCCTTTTTCAGCATAGGCCTGAAAGGGCTCCAAATGCCCGCTTCCAGACACTATAAAAAGGGGGTTTCAAATCTACTCTATGAAAGGGAATGTTCAACTCTGAGAGCTGGATGCAAACATCACAAAGAAGTTTCTGAGAATGCTGCTGTCTACTTTTTATATATAATCCCGTTTCCAACGAAATCCTCAAATCTAGCCAAATATCCACTTGCAGATTCCAAAAGAAGAGTGTCTCAAAACTGCTCTATCAATAGAAATGTTCAGCACAGTTAGTTGAGTAGATACAGCATAAACATGTTTCTGAGATTACTTCTATCTCGCATTCATGGGAAGATATTTCCTTTTTCCAGATAGGCTACAAAGCCCTCCAAATGTCCACTTCGAGATACTACAAATAGAGTGCTGCACAACTGCTCTATGTGAGGGGATGTTCAATTATGTGACTTGAATGCAGACACCACAAAGAAGTTTCTGAGAATGCTGCTGTCTAATTTTTATATGTAAGCCCGTTTCCCACGAAATCCTCAAAGGTATCCAAATATCCGCATGCAGAATCTTCAAAAAGAGTGTTCCAGAAGTACTGCATGAAACGAAAGGTTTGAGTACGTTAGTTGAGGACACGCATCACAAATAAGTTTCTCAGAATGCTTCTGTCTTGTTTTCATTGGAAGATATTTCCTTTTTCACCATAGTTCAGAAAGCGCTCCAAATGTCCACTTCCAGATACTCCAAAAAGAGTGTTTCAAACCTGCTCTATGAATGGGAATGTTCCACTCTGTGACTTGAATGGAAATATGGCAAAGTATTTTCTGAGTATGCTGCTGTGTACGTTTGATATTGCATCCCGTTTCCAACGAAATCCTCAAAGCGATCCAAATATCCACTTGCAGATTCCAAAAAAAGAGTGTTTCAAACTGCTCTGTCAGTACAAAGGTTCAACACTGTTAGTTGATTAGATGCATCATAAACAAGTTCCTGAGATAGCTTCTATGTCGCTTTTATGGGAAGATATTTCCTTTTACACCATAGGCCTGAAAGCGCTCCAAATGTCCACTTCCAGATACTACAAAATGAGTGTTTCAAACCTGCTCCATGAAACGGAAGGTTCAACTCTGTGACTTGATTGCAAACATCACGAAGGTGTTTCAGAGGATGTTTCTGTCTAGATTTTCTTTGAAGACATTACCGTTTCCAACGAAATCCTCAAAGCTAGCCAAATATCCACCTGCAGATTCTACAAAAAGAGTGTTTCAAAAGTGCTCTGTCCAAACCAAGGTTCAATTCTGACAGTTGAGTGCACACATCACAAACGTGATTCTGCGAATTTCTCTCTCTAGTTTTTGTCGGAATATATTTCCTTTTTCAGCATAGGCCCCAAGGAGCTCAAAATGTCCACTGCCAGATAGTACGAGAAGATTGTTTCAAACCTGCTCTGAGAAAGGGGAATGTTCAACTCTGTGACTTGAATGTACACATCCCTAAGATGTTTCTTAGAATGCTTCTGGCTAGATTTGATTTGAAGATATTCCCGTTTCCAACGAAATCCTCAAAGCTTTCCAAATATCCACTTCCAGATTCTATAAAAAGAATGTTTCAAAACAGTTCTGTCCAAAGGAAGGTTCAACTCTGTTAGTGGAGAACACACATCACAATCCAGGTTCTGAGAATGCTTCTGTCTAAATTTTCTATGAAGACATTCCCGTTTCCAACGAAATCCTCACAGCTATCCAAATATCCACTTGCAGATTCTACAAAAAGTGTGGTTCAAAACTGCTGTATCAAAAGAATGAATCAACACTGTTAGTTGAGGACCCACATCACAAACGTGATTCTCAGAATGCTTCTGTCTAGTTTCTGTAGGTAGATATTTCCTTTTTCAGCATAGGCCTGAAAGCGCTCCAAATGCCCGCTTCCAGACACTATAAAAAGGGGGTTTCAAACCTACTCTATGAAAGGGAATGTTCAACTCTGAGAGCTGGATGCAAACATCACAAAGAAGTTTCTGAGAATGCTGCTGTCTACTTTTGATATATAATCCCGTTTCCAACGAAATCCTCAAATCTAGCCAAATATCCACTTGCAGATTCCAAAAGAAGAGTGTCTCAAAACTGCTCTATCAATAGAAATGTTCAGCACAGTTAGTTGAGTAGATACAGCATAAACCTGTTTCTGAGATTACTTCTATCTCGCATTCATGGGAAGATATTCCCTTTTTCCAGATAGGCTACAAAGCCCTCCAAATGTCCACTTCGAGATACTACAAATAGAGTGCTGCACAACTGCTCTATGTGAGGGGATGTTCAATTCTGTGACTTGAATGCAGACACCACAAAGAAGTTTCTGAGAATGCTGCTGTCTAATTTTTATATATAAGCCCGTATCCAAAGAAATCCTCAAAGCTATCCAAATATCCGCATGCAGAATCTTCAAAAAGAGTGTTCCAGAAGTACTGCATGAAACGAAAGGTTTGAGTACGTTAGTTGAGGACACGCATCACAAATAAGTTTCTCAGAATGCTTCTGTCTTGTTTTCATTGGAACATATTTCCTTTTTCACCATAGTTCAGAAAGCGCTCCAAATGTCCACTTCCAGATACTCCAAAAAGAGTGTTTCAAACCTGCTCTATGAATGGGAATGTTCCACTCTGTGACTTGAATGGAAATATGGCAAAGTATTTTCTGAGTATGCTGCTGAGTACGTTTTATATTGCATCCCGTTTCTAACGAAATCCTCAAAGCGATCCAAATATCCACTTGCAGATTCCAAAAAAAGAGTGTTTCAAACTGCTCTGTCAGTACAAAGGTTCAACACTGTTAGTTGATTAGATGCATCATAAACAAGTTCCTGAGATAGCTTCTATGTCGCTTTTATGGGAAGATATTTCCTTTTACACCATAGGCCTGAAAGCGCTCCAAATGTCCACTTCCAGATACTACAAAATGCGTGTTTCCAACCTGCTCTATGAAACGGAAGGTTCAACTCTGTGACTTGATTGCAAACATCACGAAGGTGTTTCTGAGGATGTTTCTGTCTAGATTTTCTTTGAAGACATTACCGTTTCCAACGAAATCCTCAAAGCTAGCCAAATATCCACCTGCAGATTCTACAAAAAGAGTGTTTCAAAAGTGCTCTGTCCAAACAAAGGTTCAATTCTGACAGTTGAGTGCACACATCACAAACGTGATTCTGCGAATGCTTCTGTCTAGTTTTTGTCGGAAGATATTTCCTTTTTCAGCATAGGCCCCAAGGAGCTCAAAATGTCCACTGCCAGATAGTACGAGAAGATTGTTTCAAACCTGCTCTGAGAAAGGGGAATGTTCAACTCTGTGACTTGAATGTACACATCCCTAAGATGTTTCTTAGAATGCTTCTGGCTAGATTTTATTTGAAGATATTCCCGTTTCCAACGAAATCCTCAAAGCTTTCCAAATATCCACTTCCAGATTCTATAAAAAGAATGTTTCAAAACAGTTCTGTCAAAAGAAAGGTTCAACTCTGTTAGTGGAGAACACACATCACAATCCAGGTTCTGAGAATGCTTCTGTCTAAATTTTCTATGAAGAAATTCCCGTTCCCAACGAATCCTCACAGCTATCCAAATATCCACTTGCAGATTCTACAAAAAGGGTGGTTCAAAACTGCTGTATCAAAAGAATGGATCAACACTGTTAGTTGAGTACCCACATCACAAACGTGATTCTCAGAATGCTTCTGTCTAGTTTCTGTAGGTAGATATTTCCTTTTTCAGCATAGGCCTGAAAGCGCTCCAAATGCCCGCTTCCAGACACTATAAAAAGGGGGTTTCAAACCTACTCTATGAAACGGAATGTTCAACTCTGAGACCTGGATGCAAACATCACAAAGAAGTTTCTGAGAATGCTGCTGTCTACTTTTTATATATAATCCCGTTTCCAACGAAATCCTCAAATCTAGCCAAATATCCACTTGCAGATTCGAAAAGAAGAGTGTCTCAAAACTGCTCTATTAATAGAAATGTTCAGCACACTTAGTTGAGTAGATACAGCATAAACATGTTTCTGAGATTACTTCTATCTCGCATTCATGGGAAGATATTTCCTTTTTCCAGATAGGCTACAAAGCCCTCCAAATGTCCACTTCCAGATACTACAAATAGAGTGCTGCACAACTGCTCTATGTGAGGGGATGTTCAGTTCTGTGACTTGAATGCAGACACCACAAAGAAGTTTCTGAGAATGCTGCTGTCTAATTTTTATATGTAAGCCCGTTTCCAACGAAATCCTCAAAGCTATCCAAATATGCGCATGCAGAATCTTCAAAAAGAGTGTTCCAGAAGTACTGCATGAAACGAAAGGTTCGAGTCCGTTAGTTGAGGACACGCATCACAAATAAGTTTCTCAGAATGCTTCTGTCTTGTTTTCATTGGAAGATATTTCCTTTTTCACCATAGTTCAGAAAGCGCTCCAAATGTCCACTTCCAGATACTCCAAAAAGAGTGTTTCAAACCTGCTCTATGAATGGGAATGTTCCACTCTGTGACTTGAATGGAAATATGGCAAAGTATTTTCTGAGTATGCTGCTGTGTACGTTTTATATTGCATCCCGTTTCCAACGAAATCCTCAAAGCGATCCAAATATCCACTTGCAGATTCCAAAAAAAGAGTGTTTCAAACTGCTCTGTCAGTACAAAGGTTCAACACTGTTAGTTGATTAGAGGCATCATAAACAAGTTCCTGAGATAGCTTCTATGTCGCTTTTATGGGAAGATATTTCCTTTTACACCATAGGCCTGAAAGCGCTCCAAATGTCCACTTCCAGATACTACAAAATGAGTGTTTCCAACCTACTCTATGAAACGGAAGGTTCAACTCTGTGACTTGATTGCAAACATCACGAAGGTGTTTCTGAGGATGTTTCTGTCTAGATTTTCTTTGAAGACATTACCGTTTCCAACGAAATCCTCAAAGCTAGCCAAATATCCACCTGCAGATCCTACAAAAAGAGTGTTTCAAAAGTGCTCTGTCCAAACAAAGGTTCAATTCTGACAGTTGAGTGCACACATCACAAACGTGATTCTGCGAATGCTTCTGTCTAGTTTTTGTCGGAAGATATTTCCTTTTTCAGCATAGGCCCCAAGGAGCTCAAAATGTCCACTGCCAGATAGTACGAGAAGATTGTTTCAAACCTGCTCTGAGAAAGGGGAATGTTCAACTCTGTGACTTGAATGTACACATCCCTAAGATGTTTCTTAGAATGCTTCTGGCTAGATTTTATTTGAAGATATTCCCGTTTCCAACGAAATCCTCAAAGCTTTCCAAATATACACTTCCAGATTCTATAAAAAGAAAGTTTCAAAACAGTTCTGTCAAAAGAAAGGTTCAACTCTGTTAGTGGAGAACACACATCACAATCCAGGTTCTGAGAATGCTTCTGTCTAAATTTTCTATGAAGACATTCCCGTTCCCAACGAATCCTCACAGCTATCCAAATATCCATTGCAGATTCTACAAAAAAGGTGGTTCAAAACTGCTGTATCAAAAGAATGGATCAACACTGTTAGTTGAGTACCCACATCACAAACGTGATTCTCAGAATGCTTCTGTCTAGTTTCTGTAGGTAGATATTTCCTTTTTCAGCATAGGCCTGAAAGCGCTCCAAATGCCCGCTTCCAGACACTATAAAAAGGGGGTTTCAAATCTACTCTATGAAAGGGAATGTTCAACTCTGAGAGCTGGATGCAAACATCACAAAGAAGTTTCTGAGAATGCTGCTGTCTACTTTTTATATATAATCCCGTTTCCAACGAAATCCTCAAATCTAGCCAAATATCCACTTGCAGATTCCAAAAGAAGAGTGTCTCAAAACTGCTCTATCAATAGAAATGTTCAGCACAGTTAGTTGAGTAGATACAGCATAAACATGTTTCTGAGATTACTTCTATCTCGCATTCATGGGAAGATATTTCCTTTTTCCAGATAGGCTACCAAGCCCTCCAAATGTCCACTTCGAGATACTACAAATAGAGTGCTGCACAACTGCTCTATGTGAGGGGATGTTCAATTATGTGACTTGAATGCAGACACCACAAAGAAGTTTCTGAGAATGCTGCTGTCTAATTTTTATATGTAAGCCCGTTTCCCACGAAATCCTCAAAGGTATCCAAATATCCGCATGCAGAATCTTCAAAAAGAGTGTTCCAGAAGTACTGCATGAAACGAAAGGTTTGAGTACGTTAGTTGAGGACACGCATCACAAATAAGTTTCTCAGAATGCTTCTGTCTTGTTTTCATTGGAAGATATTTCCTTTTTCACCATAGTTCAGAAAGCGCTCCAAATGTCCACTTCCAGATACTCCAAAAAGAGTGTTTCAAACCTGCTCTATGAATGGGAATGTTCCACTCTGTGACTTGAATGGAAATATGGCAAAGTATTTTCTGAGTATGCTGCTGTGTACGTTTGATATTCATCCCGTTTCCAACGAAATCCTCAAAGCGATCCAAATATCCACTTGCAGATTCCAAAAAAAGAGTGTTTCAAACTGCTCTGTCAGTACAAAGGTTCAACACTGTTAGTTGATTAGATGCATCATAAACAAGTTCCTGAGATAGCTTCTATGTCGCTTTTATGGGAAGATATTTCCTTTTACACCATAGGCCTGAAAGCGCTCCAAATGTCCACTTCCAGATACTACAAAATGAGTGTTTCCAACCTGCTCTATGAAACGGAAGGTTCAACTCTGTGACTTGATTGCAAACATCACGAAGGTGTTTCAGAGGATGTTTCTGTCTAGATTTTCTTTGAAGACATTACCTTTTCCAACGAAATCCTCAAAGCTAGCCAAATATCCACCTGCAGATTCTACAAAAAGAGTGTTTCAAAAGTGCTCTGTCCAAACCAAGGTTCAATTCTGACAGTTGAGTTCACACATCACAAACGTGATTCTGCGAATGCCTCTGTCTAGTTTTTGTCGGAATATATTTCCTTTTTCAGCATAGGCCCCAAGGAGCTCAAAATGTCCACTGCCAGATAGTACGAGAAGATTGTTTCAAACCTGCTCTGAGAAAGGGGAATGTTCAACTCTGTGACTTGAATGTACACATCCCTAAGATGTTTCTTAGAATGCTTCTGGCTAGATTTGATTTGAAGATATTCCCGTTTCCAACGAAATCCTCAAAGCTTTCCAAATATACACTTCCAGATTCTATAAAAAGAATGTTTCAAAACAGTTCTGTCCAAAGAAAGGTTCAACTCTGTTAGTGGAGAACACACATCACAATCCAGGTTCTGAGAATGCTTCTGTCTAAATTTTCTATGAAGACATTCCCGTTTCCAACGAAATCCTCACAGCTATCCAAATATCCACTTGCAGATTCTACAAAAAGTGTGGTTCAAAACTGCTGTATCAAAAGAATGAATCAACACTGTTAGTTGAGGACCCACATCACAAACGTGATTCTCAGAATGCTTCTGTCTAGTTTCTGTAGGTAGATATTTCCTTTTTCAGCATAGGCCTGAAAGCGCTCCAAATGCCCGCTTCCAGACACTATAAAAAGGGGGTTTCAAACCTACTCTATGAAAGGGAATGTTCAACTCTGAGAGCTGGATGCAAACATCACAAAGAAGTTTCTGAGAATGCTGCTGTCTACTTTTGATATATAATCCCGTTTCCAACGAAATCCTCAAATCTATCCAAATATCCACTTGCAGATTCCAAAAGAAGAGTGTCTCAAAACTGCTCTATCAATAGAAATGTTCAGCACAGTTAGTTGAGTAGATACAGCATAAACCTGTTTCTGAGATTACTTCTATCTCGCATTCATGGGAAGATATTCCCTTTTTCCAGATAGGCTACAAAGCCCTCCAAATGTCCACTTCGAGATACTACAAATAGAGTGCTGCACAACTGCTCTATGTGAGGGGATGTTCAATTCTGTGACTTGAATGCAGACACCACAAAGAAGTTTCTGAGAATGCTGCTGTCTAATTTTTATATATAAGCCCGTATCCAACGAAATCCTCAAAGCTATCCAAATATCCGCATGCAGAATCTTCAAAAAGAGTGTTCCAGAAGTACTGCATGAAACGAAAGGTTTGAGTACGTTAGTTGAGGACACGCATCACAAATAAGTTTCTCAGAATGCTTCTGTCTTGTTTTCATTGGAACATATTTCCTTTTTCACCATAGTTCAGAAAGCGCTCCAAATGTCCACTTCCAGATACTCCAAAAAGAGTGTTTCAAACCTGCTCTATGAATGGGAATGTTCCACTCTGTGACTTGAATGGAAATATGGCAAAGTATTTTCTGAGTATGCTGCTGAGTACGTTTTATATTGCATCCCGTTTCCAACGAAATCCTCAAAGCGATCCAAATATCCACTTGCAGATTCCAAAAAAAGAGTGTTTCAAACTGCTCTGTCAGTACAAAGGTTCAACACTGTTAGTTGATTAGATGCATCATAAACAAGTTCCTGAGATAGCTTCTATGTCGCTTTTATGGGAAGATATTTCCTTTTACACCATAGGCCTGAAAGCGCTCCAAATGTCCACTTCCAGATACTACAAAATGAGTGTTTCCTACCTGCTCTATGAAACGGAAGGTTCAACTCTGTGACTTGATTGCAAACATCACGAAGGTGTTTCTGAGAATGCTTCTGTCTAGATTTTCTTTGAAGACATTACCGTTTCCAACGAAATCCTCAAAGCTAGCCAAATATCCACCTGCAGATTCTACAAAAAGAGTGTTTCAAAAGTGCTCTGTCCAAACAAAGGTTCAATTCTGACAGTTGAGTGCACACATCACAAACGTGATTCTGCGAATGCTTCTGTCTAGTTTTTGTCGGAAGATATTTCCTTTTTCAGCATAGGCCCCAAGGAGCTCAAAATGTCCACTGCCAGATAGTACGAGAAGATTGTTTCAAACCTGCTCTGAGAAAGGGGAATGTTCAACTCTGTGACTTGAATGTACACATCCCTAAGATGTTTCTTAGAATGCTTCTGGCTAGATTTTATTTGAAGATATTCCCGTTTCCAACGAAATCCTCAAAGCTTTCCAAATATCCACTTCCAGATTCTATAAAAAGAATGTTTCAAAACAGTTCTGTCAAAAGAAAGGTTCAACTCTGTTAGTGGAGAACACACATCACAATCCAGGTTCTGAGAATGCTTCTGTCTAAATTTTCTATGAAGAAATTCCCGTTCCCAACGAATCCTCACAGCTATCCAAATATCCACTTGCAGATTCTACAAAAAGGGTGGTTCAAAACTGCTGTATCAAAAGAATGAATCAACACTGTTAGTTGAGTACCCACATCACAAACGTGATTCTCAGAATGCTTCTGTCTAGTTTCTGTAGGTAGATATTTCCTTTTTCAGCATAGGCCTGAAAGCACTCCAAATGCCCGCTTCCAGACACTATAAAAAGGGGGTTTCAAACCTACTCTATGAAACGGAATGTTCAACTCTGGGACCTGGATGCAAACATCACAAAGAAGTTTCTGAGAATGCTGCTGTCTACTTTTTATATATAATCCCGTTTCCAACGAAATCCTCAAATCTAGCCAAATATCCACTTGCAGATTCGAAAAAAAGAGTGTCTCAAAACTGCTCTATTAATAGAAATGTTCAGCACACTTAGTTGAGTAGATACAGCATAAACATGTTTCTGAGATTACTTCTATCTCGCATTCATGGGAAGATATTTCCTTTTTCCAGATAGGCTACAAAGCCCTCCAAATGTCCACTTCGAGATACTACAAATAGAGTGCTGCACAACTGCTCTATGTGAGGGGATGTTCAGTTCTGTGACTTGAATGCAGACACCACAAAGAAGTTTCTGAGAATGCTGCTGTCTAATTTTTATACGTAAGCCCGTTTCCAACGAAATCCTCAAAGCTATCCAAATATCCGCATGCAGAATCTTCAAAAAGAGTGTTCCAGAAGTACTGCATGAAACGAAAGGTTCGAGTCCGTTAGTTGAGGACACGCATCACAAATAAGTTTCTCAGAATGCTTCTGTCTTGTTTTCATTGGAAGATATTTCCTTTTTCACCATAGTTCAGAAAGCGCTCCAAATGTCCACTTCCAGATACTCCAAAAAGAGTGTTTCAAACCTGCTCTATGAATGGGAATGTTCCACTCTGTGACTTGAATGGAAATATGGCAAAGTATTTTCTGAGTATGCTGCTGTGTAAGTTTTATATTGCATCCTGTTTCCAACGAAATCCTCAAAGTGATACAAATATCCACTTGCAGATTCCAAAAAAAGAGTGTTTCAAACTGCTCTGTCAGTACAAAGGTTCAACACTGTTAGTTGATTAGATGCATCATAAACAAGTTCCTGAGATAGCTTCTATGTCGCTTTTATGGGAAGCTATTTCCTTTTACACCATAGGCCTGAAAGCGCTCCAAATGTCCACTTCCAGATACTACAAAATGAGTGTTTCCAACCTGCTCTATGAAACGGAAGGTTCAACTCTGTGACTTGATTGCAAACATCACGAAGGTGTTTCTGAGTATGTTTCTGTCTAGATTTTCTTTGAAGACATTACCGTTTCCAACGAAATCCTCAAAGCTAGCCAAATATCCACCTGCAGATTCTACAAAAAGAGTGTTTCAAAAGTGCTCTGTCCAAACCAAGGTTCAATTCTGACAGTTGAGTGCACACATCACAATCGTGATTCTGCGAATGCTTCTGTCTAGTTTTTGTCGGAAGATATTTCCTTTTTCAGCATAGGCCCCAAGGAGCTCAAAATGTCCACTTCCAGATAGTACGAGAAGATTGTTTCAAACGTGCTCTGTGAAAGGGAATGTTCAACTCTGTGACTTGAATGTAAACATCCCTAAGATGTTTCTTAGAATGCTTCTGGCTAGATTTTATTTGAAGATATTCCCGTTTCCAACGAAATCCTCAAAGCTTTCCAAATATCCACTTCCAGATTCTATAAAAAGAATGTTTCAAAACAGTTCTGTCAAAAGAAAGGTTCAACTCTGTTAGTGGAGAACACACATCACAATCAAGGTTCTGAGAATGCTTCTGTCTAAATTTTCTATGAAGACATTCCCGTTTCCAACGAAATCCTCACAGCTATCCAAATATCCACTTGCAGATTCTACAAAAAGGGTGGTTCAAAACTGCTGTATCAAAAGAATGGATCAACACTGTTAGTTGAGTACCCACATCACAAACGAGATTCTCAGAATGCTTCTGTCTAGTTTCTATAGGTAGATATTTCCTTTTTCAGCATAGGCCTGAAAGCGCTCCAAATGCCCGCTTCCAGACACTACAAAAAGGGGGTTTCAAACCTACTCTATGAAAGGGAATATTCAACTCTGAGAGCTGGATGCAAACATCACAAAGAAGTTTCTGAGAATGCTGCTGTCTACTTTTTATATATAATCCCGTTTCCAACGAAATCCTCAAATCTAGCCAAATATCCACTTGCAGATTCCAAAAGAAGAGTGTCTCAAAACTGCTCTATCAATAGAAATGTTCAGCACAGTTAGTTGAGTAGATACAGCATAAACATGTTTCTGAGATTACTTCTATCTCGCATTCATGGGAAGATATTTCCTTTTTCTACATAGATAGGCTACAAAGCCCTCCAAATGTCCACTTCGAGATACTACAAATAGAGTGCTGCACAACTGCTCTATGTGAGGGGATGTTCAATTCTGTGACTTGAGTGCAGACACCACAAAGAAGTTTCTGAGAATGCTGCTGTCTAATTTTTATATGTAAGCCCGTTTCCAACGAAATCCTCAAAGCTATCCAAATATCCGCATGCAGAATCTTCAACAAGAGTGTTCCAGAAGTACTGCATGAAACGAAAGGTTCGAGTCCGTTAGTTGAGGACACGCATCACAAATAAGTTTCTCAGAATGCTTCTGTCTTGTTTTCATTGGAAGATATTTCCTTTTTCACCATAGTTCAGAAAGCGCTCCAAATGTCCACTTCCAGATACTCCAAAAAGAGTGTTTCAAACCTGCTCTATGAATGGGAATGTTCCACTCTGTGACTTGAATGGAAATATGGCAAAGTATTTTCTGAGTATGCTGCTTTGTACGTTTTATATTGCATCCCGTTTCCAACGAAATCCTCAAAGCGATCCAAATATCTACTTGCAGATTCCAAAAAAAGAGTGTTTCAAACTGCTCTGTCAGTACAAAGGTTCAACACTGTTAGTTGATTAGATGCATCATAAACAAGTTCCTGAGATAGCTTCTATGTCGTTTTTATGGGAAGCTATTTCCTTTTTCTCCATAGGCCTGAAAGCGCTCCAGATGTCCACTTCCAGATACTACAAAAAGAGTGTTTCCAACCTGCTCTATGAAACGGAAGGTTCAACTCTGTGACTTGATTGCAAACATCACGAAGGTGTTTCTGAGGATGTTTCTGTCTAGATTTTCTTTGAAGACATTACCGTTTCCAACGAAATCCTCAAAGCTAGCCAAATATCCACCTGCAGATTCTACAAAAAGAGTGTTTCAAAAGTGCTCTGTCCAAACCAAGGTTCAATTCTGACAGTTGAGTGCACACATCACAAACGTGATTCTGCGAATGCTTCTGTCTAGTTTTTGTTGGAAGATATTTCCTTTTTCAGCATAGGCCCCAAGGAGCTCAAAATGTCCACTTCCAGATAGTACGAGAAGATTGTTTCAAACCTGCTCTGTGAAAGGGAATGTTCAACTCTGTGACTTGAATGTAAACATCCCTAAGATGTTTCTTAGCATGCTTCTGGCTAGATTTGATTTGAAGATATTCCCGTTTCCAACGAAATCCTCAAAGCTTTCCCAATATCCACTTCCAGATTCTATAAAAAGAATGTTTCAAAACAGTTCTGTCAAAAGAAAGGTTCAACTCTGTTAGTGGAGAACACACATCACAATCAAGGTTCTGAGAATGCTTCTGTCTAAATTTTCTATGAAGACATTCCCGTTTCCAACGAAATCCTCACAGCTATCCAAATATCCACTTGCAGATTCTACAAAAAGGGTGGTTCAAAACTGCTGTATCCATAGAATGGATCAACACTGTTAGTTGAGTACCCACATCACAAACGAGATTCTCAGAATGCTTCTGTCTAGTTTCTATAGGTAGACATTTCCTTTTTCAGCATAGGCCTGAAAGCGCTCCAAATGCCCGCTTCCAGACACTATAAAAAGAGGGTTTCCAACCTACTCTATGAAAGGGAATGTTCAACTCTGAGAGCTGGATGCAAACATCACAAAGAAGTTTCTGAGAATGCTGCTGTCTACTTTTTATATATAATCCCGTTTCCAACGAAATCCTCAAATCTATCCAAATATCCACTTGCAGATTCCAAAAGAAGAGTGTCTCGAAACTGCTCTTTCAATAGAAATGTTCAGCACAGTTAGTTGAGTAGATACAGCATAAACATGTTTCTGAGATTACTTCTATCTCGCATTCATGGGAAGATATTTCCTTTTTCCAGATAGGCTACAAAGCCCTCCAAATGTCCACTTCGAGATACTACAGATAGAGTGCTGCACAACTGCTCTATGTGAGGGGATTTTCAATTCTGTGACTTGAATGCAGACACCACAAAGAAGTTTCTGAGAATGCTGCTGTCTAATTTTTATATGTAAGCCCGCTTCCAACGAAATCCTCAAAGCTATCCAAATATCCACATGCAGAATCTTCAAAAAGAGTGTTCCAGAGGTACTGCATGAAACGAAAGGTTCAAGTCCGTTAGTTGAGGACACATATCGCAAATAAGTTTCTCAGAATGCTTCTGTCTTGTTTTCATTGGAAGATATTTCCTTTTTCACCATAGTTCAGAAAGCGCTCCAAATGTCCACTTCCAGATACTCCAAAAAGAGTGTTTCAAACCTGCTTTATGAATGGGAATGTTCCACTCTGTGACTTGAATGGAAATATGGCAAAGTATTTTCTGAGTATGCTGCTGTGTACGTTTTATATTGCATCCCGTTTCCAACGAAATCCTCAAAGCGCTCCAAATATCCACTTGCAGATTCCAAAAAATGAGTGTTTCAAACTGCTCTGTCAGTACAAAGGTTCAACACTGTTAGTTGATTAGATGCATCATAAACAAGTTCCTGAGATAGCTTCTATGTCGTTTTTATGGGAAGCTATTTCCTTTTTCACCATAGGCCTGAAAGCGCTCCAGATGTCCACTTCCAGATACTACAAAAAGAGTGTTTCCAACCTGCTCTATGAAACGGAAGGTTCAACTCTGTGACTTGATTGCAAACATCACGAAGGTGTTTCTGAGGATGTTTCTGTCTAGATTTTCTTTGAAGACATTACCGTTTCCAACGAAATCCTCAAAGCTAGCCAAATATCCACCTGCAGATTCTACAAAAAGAGTGTTTCAAAAGTGCTCTGTCCAAACAAAGGTTCAATTCTGACAGTTGAGTGCACACATCACAAACGTGATTCTGCGAATGCTTCTGTCTGGTTCTTGTCGGAAGATATTTCCTTTTTCAGCATAAGCCCCAAGGAGCTCAAAATGTCCACTTCCAGATAGTACGAGAAGATTGTTTCAAACCTGCTCTGTGAAAGGGAATGTTCAACTCTGTGACTTGAATGTAAACATCCCTAAGATGTTTCTTAGAATGCTTCTGGCTAGATTTTATTTGAAGATATTCCCGTTTCCAACGAAATCCTCAAAGCTTTCCAAATATCCACTTCCAGATTCTATAAAAAGAATGTTTCAAAACAGTTCTGTCAAAAGAAAGGTTCAACTCTGTTAGTGGAGAACACACATCACAATCAAGGTTCTGAGAATGCTTCTGTCTAAATTTTCTATGAAGACATTCCCGTTTCCAATGAAATCCTCAAAGCTATCCAAATATCCACTTGCAGATTCTACAAAAGGGTGGTTCAAAACTGCTCTATTGAAAGGAATATTTACCTCTGTGAGTTGAATGCAAACATCACAAAGTAGTTTCTGAGAATGTTTCTGTCTAGTTTTTATGTGAAGATGTTTCCTTTTCTAACATAGGCCTCAAAGCGCTCTAAATATACATTTGCAAGTAGTTCAAAAAGATTGTTTCAAAACTGCTCTATCAAAAGTAATTTAAACACTGTGAGTTGAACACACACCTCACAAAGTTGTTTCTGAGAATATTTCTGTCCAGTTTTTATATGAAGATATTTCCTTTTCTACCATAGGCCTCAAACTGCTCTAAATATCCACTTGTAAATTCTACAAAAAGAGAGTTTCAAAACTGCTCTATCGAAAGAAGGTTCAATACTGTGAATGTAATGCACACATCACAAAGATGTTTCTGAGAATTCTTCTGTCTAGTTTTTATATGAAGAAATTCCCGTTTCCAATGAAGGCCTCAGAGAGGTCCAAATATCCACTTGGCAGATTCTACAAAAAGAGTCTTACAATACTGCTCTATCAAAAGGAATGTACAACAATGGGAGTTGAATGCAGACATCAAAAAAATTTTCTCAGATTTCTTCTGTCTAGCATTTAAGTGAAGAAATTCCCGTTTCCAATGAATGCCTCAAAGAGGTCCAAATATCCACCTGCAGATTCTACAAAAAGAGTGTTTCAAAAGTGCTCAATCAAAACGAATGTTCAACTCTGTGAGTTGAATGCAAACAACACAAAGTAGTTTCTGAGAATGCTTCTGTGTAGTTTTTATGTGAACATATTTTCTTTTCTACCGTGGGTCTCAAAGCACTGTAATTTTCCACTTGCAGTTTCTACAGAAAGTGTGTTTCAAAACTGCTCTACCAAAAGGAAGTTTAAACTCTGTGATTTGAATGCACACATCACAAAATGTTTCTGAGATTTCTTCTCTCAAGGTTGTAAGTGAAGAAATTCCAGTTTCCAACGAAGTCCTCAAAGATGTCAAAATATCCACTTGCAGATTCTACAACAAGAGTGCTTCAAAAATCTTCTATCAATAGGAAGGTTCAACTCTGTGAGTTGAATGCAGACATAACAAAGAAGCTTCTGAGAATACTTCTGTCTACTTTCTATGTGAAGATATACCCGTTTCCAAAGAAGGCCTCAAAGCGATCCAAATATCCACTTGCAGATTCTACAAAAAGAGTGTTTCAATACTGCTCTATCAAAAGGAAGTTTCAACTCTGTGAGTTGAAAGCACACATCAAAAAGAAGTTTCTGGGAATGATACTTTCTAGTTTTTACGTGAAGATATTTCCTTTTCAATAGTAGGCCTCAAAGGGAGCCACATATCCACTTGCAGATTTTACCAAAAGAGTGTTTCAAAACTGCTCTATCAAAAGACAGGTTCAACACTGTGAGTTGAATGCACACATCACAAAAAAGTTTCTGAGAATCCTCCTTTCTGCTTTTTATGTGAACATATACCCGTTTCTAAAGAAGGCCTCAAAGCGGTCCAAATATCCACTTGCAGATTCCACAAAAAGGGCGTTTCAAAACTGCTCTATCAAAGGAACGTTCAAGTCTGTGAGGTGAATGGAAACTTCACAAAGTAGTTTCTGAGAATGCTTCTCTCTAGTTTTTATGTGAAGATATTTCCTTTTCTATCATAGGCCTCAAAGCAATCTAAATATACACTTGCAAATTCTACAAAAAGAGTGTTTCAAAACTGCTCTATCAAAAGAAAGGTTAAACCCTGTGAGTTGAACACACACATCACAAAGTAGCTTCTGAGAATAATTCTGTCTAGTTTTTATATGAAGATATTTCCTTTTGTACCATAGGCTTCAAAACGCTCTAAATATCCACTTGGAAATTCTACCAAAAGAGTGTTTCAAAACTGCTCTATCGAATCAAGTTTCATCTCTGTGAGTTGAATGTGCACTTCACAAAGAAGTTTCTGATAATTCTTCTGTCTAGTTTTTATATGAAGAAATCCCATTTCCAACGAAGGCCTCAAAGAGGTCCAAATATCCACTTGCAGATTCTACAAACAGACTGTTGCATAACTGCTCTATAAAAAGGAATGTTTAACACAGTGAGTTGAATGCAAACATCACAAAGTATTTTCTGAGAAGGCTTCTGTGTAGTTTTTCTCTGAAGATATTTCTTTTTCTACAATAGGCTTCAAAGCGCTCTAAATATCCACTTGGAAATTCTAAAAAAGAGTGTTTAAAAACTGCTCTATCAAAAGGAAGGCTCAACTCTGTGAGTTGAATGCACACATCAGAAAAAGTTTCTGAGATTTCTCCTGTCTAGTTTTTAAGTGAAGAAATTCCCATTTCCAACGAAGGCCTCAAAGAGGTCCAAATATCCACTTGCAGATTCTACAAACAGACTGTTGCATAACTGCTCTATAAAAAGGAATGTTTAACACAGTGAGTTGAATGCAAACATCACAAAGAAGTTTCTGAGAATACTTCCGTGTAGTTTTTCTATGATGATATATCCTTTTATACCATAGGCCTCAAAGCGCTCCAATTATCCAATTGCAAAATCTACAAAAGCAGTTTTTCAAAACTGCTCTATCAAAAGGAAGTTTCAAATCTGTGATTTGAGTGCAGACATCACAAAGAAGTTTCTGAAAATACTTCTCTCTACTTTTTATGTGAAGGTACTCCCATTTCCAAAGAAGGCCTTAAAGCACTCCAAATATCCACTTGCAGACTTTACAAAGTGTTTCAAAACTGCTCTATCAAAAGGAAGGTTCAACTCCGAGAGTTGAATGCACTCATCACAAAGAAGTTTATGAGAATGTTTCTTTCTAGTTTTTATGTGAAGGTATTTCCTTTTCCAACTTAGGCTTCAAAGGGAACAAAATATCCACTTGCAGATTCCACACAAAGAGTGTTTCAAAACTCCTCTATCAAAAGGATGGTTCAGCCTTGCGTGTTGAATACAAACATCACAAAATAGTTTCTGAGAATGCTTCTGGCCATTTTTTTATGAAAATACTTCGTATTCTACCAAAGGACTCCAAGCGCTCTAAATATCCACCTGCAAATTCCACAAAAAGAATGTTGCAATACTGCTTTATCAAAAGAAAGGTTAAATGCCGTGTGTTGAACGCACACATCACAAAGTAGTTTCTGAGAATGATTCTGTCTAGTTTTTATATGAAGTTATTTTTTTTTCTAACTCAGGCTTCAAAGCGCTGTTAATATCCACTCGGAAATGCTACAAAAAGAGTGTTTCAATACTGCTCTATCGAAAGGAAATTTCAAATCTGTGAGTTGAATGCACACATCACAAAGAAGTTTCTGAGAATTCTTCTGTATAGTTTTTATATGAAGAAATCCCATTTCCAACGAAGTCCCCAAAAAGGTCCAAATATCCACTTGCAGATTCTACAAAAAGAGTGTTACAAAACTGCCCTATCGAAAGGAATCTTCAACTCTTTGAGTTGAATGCAAACATCACAAAGTAGTTTCTGAGAATGCTTCTGTGTAGTTTTTCTATGAAGATATTTCCTTTTCTACCATAGGCCTCAAAGCGCTCTAACTATGCACTTGGAAATTCTACAAAAATAGTGGTTCAAAACTGCTCTATCAAAAGGAAGTTTCAGCACTGTGAGTTGAGTGCAAACATCACAAAGTAGTTTCTCAGAATACTTCTGTCTACTTTTTACGTGAAGATATTCTCATTTACAAAGAAGACCTCAAATTGCTCCAAATATCCACTTGCAGCCATTACAAAGAGAGTGTTTCAAAAAATGCTCTATCAAAAGGAAGGTTCAACTCTGTGAGTTGAATGCTAACATCACAAATTACTTTCTGAGAATGTTTCTGTGTAGTTATTCTATGAAGATATTTCCTTTTCTACAATAGGCATCAAAGCCCTCTAAATATTCACTTGCAAATTCTACAAAAAGAGTGTTTCAAAACTGCTCTATCAAAAGGAAGGTTCAAATCTGTGAGTTGAATGCACACATCACAAAGTAGTTTCTGAAAATGATAATGTCTAATTTTTATATGAAGATATTTCCTTTTCTACCATAGGACTCAAACCACTCTGAATATCCACTTGGAAATTCTACAGAAAGAGTGTTTCAGAACTGCTCTATCGAAAGTCAGGTTCAACTCTGTGAATTGAATGCACACATCACAAAGAAGTTTCTGAGAATTCTTCTGTCTAGTTTTTATACGTAGAAATTCCCGTTTCCAACGAAGGCCTCAGAGAGGTCAAAATATCCACTTGCAGATTCTACAAAGAAAGTGTTACAAAACTGCTCTATCAAAAGGAATGTTCAACTCTGTGAGTTGAATGCAAACATCAAAGTAGTTTCTGAGAATGCTTCTGTGTAGTTTTTGAATGAAGATATTATCTTTTCCAACATAGGCTCCAAAACGCTCTAAATATTCACTTTCAAATCCTACAAAAATAGTGTTTCAAAACTGCTCTATCAAAAGGAAGTTTCAAATCTCTGAGTGGAGTGCAGAGATCACAAAGAAGTTTCTGAGAATACTTCTGTCTACTTTTTATGTGAAGATATTACCTTTTCCAAAGAAGGCCTCAAAGTGCATCAAATATTCACTTGCAGACTTTACAAACAGAGTGCTTCAAAACTATTCTATCGAAAGAAATGTTAAACTCTGTGAGTTGAACCCACACATCACAAAGGAGTTTCTGAGAATGATTCTGTCTGGTTTTTTTGTTTGTTTGTTTTTTATTTTTTTTTATTATACTTTAAGTTTTAGGGTACATGTGCACATTGTGCAGGTTAGTTACATATGTATACATGTGCCATGCTGGTGCGCTGCACCCACTAACTCGTCATCTAGCATTAGGTATATCTCCCAATGCTATCCCTCCCCCCTCCCCCCACCCCACCACAGTCCCCAGAGTGTGATATTCCCCTTCCTGTGTCCATGTGATCTCATTGTTCAATTCCCAACTATGAGTGAGAATATGCGGTGTTTGGTTTTTTGTTCTTGTGATAGATTACTGAGAATGATGATTTCCAGTTTCATCCATGTCCCTACAGCGACATGAACTCATCCTTTTTTATGGATGCATAGTATTCCACGGTGTATACGAGCCACATTTTCTTAATCCAGTCTATCATTGTTGGACATTTGGGTTGGTTCCAAGTCTTTGCTATTGTGAATAATGCCACAATAGCAGCATGATTTATAGTCATTTGGGTATATACCCAGTAATGGGATGGCTGGGTCAAATGGTACTTCCAGTTCTAGATCCCTGAGGAGTCACCACACTGACTTCCACAGTGGTTGAACTAGTTTACATTCCCACCAACAGTGTAAAAGTGTTCCTATTTCTCCACATCCTCTCCAGCACCTGTTGTTTCCTGACTTTTTAATGATCATCATTCTAACTGGTGTGAGATGGTATATCATTGTAGTTTTGATTTGCATTTCTCTGATGGCCAGTGATGATGAGCATTTTTTCATGTGTTTTTTGGCTGCATAAATGTCTTCTTTTGAGAACTGTCTGTTCATGTCCTTCACCCACTTTTTGATGGGGTTGTTTGTTTTTTTCCTGTAAATTTGTTTGAGTTCATTGTAGATTCTGGATATTAGCCCTTTGTCACATGAGTAGGTTGTGAAAATTTTCTCCCATTTTTTAGGTTGCCTGTTCACTCTGATGGTAGTTTCTTTTGCTGTGCAGAAGTTCTTTAGTTTAATTAGATCCCATTTGTCAATTTTGGCTTTTGTTGCCATTGCTTTAGGTGTTTTAGACATGAAGTCCTTGCCCATGCCTACGTCCTGAATGGTATTGCCTAGGTTTTCTTCTAGGTTTTTTATAGTTTTAGGTCTAACATTTAAGTCTTGAATCCATGTTGAATTGATTTTTGTATAAGGTGTAAGGAAGGGATCCAGTTTCAGCTTTCTACATATGGCTAGCCAGTTTTCCCAGCACCATTTATTAAATAGGGAATCCTTTCCCCATTGCTTGTTTTTCTCAGGTTTGTCAAAGATCAGATAGTTGTACATATGTGGCGTTATTTCTGAGGGCTCTGTTCTGTTCCATTGATCTATATCTCTGTTTTGGTACCAGTACCATGCTGTTTTGGTTACTGTAGCCTTGTAGTATAGTTTGAAGTCAGGTAGTGCGATGCCTCCAGCTTTGTTCTTTTGGCTTAGGATTGACTTGGCGATGCGGGCTCTTTTTTGGTTCCATATTAACTTTAAAGTAGTTTTTTCCAGTTCTGTGAAGAAAGTCATTGGTAGCTTGATGGGGATGGCATTGAATCTGTAAATTACCTTGGACAGTATGGCCATTTTCACGATATTGATTCTTCCTACCCATGAGCATGGAATGTTCTTTCATTTGTTTGTATCCTCTTTTATTTCGTTGAGCAGTGGTTTGTAGTTCTCCTTGAAGAGGTCCTTCACATCCCTTGTAAGTTGGATTCCTAGGTATTTTATTCTCTTTGAAGCAATTGTGAATGGGAGTTCACTCATGATTTGGCTCTCTGTTTGTCTATTGTTGGTGTATAAGAATGCTTGTGATTTTTGTACATTGATTTTGTATCCTGACACTTTGCTGAAGTTGCTTATCAGCTTCAGGAGATTTTGGGCTGAGACAATGGGGTTTTCTAGATATACAATCGTGTCGTCTGCAAACAGGGACAATTTGACTTCCTCTTTTCCTAATTGAATACCCTTTATGTCCTTCTCCTGCAGAATTGCCCTGGCCAGAACTTCCAACACTATGTTGAATAGGAGTGGTGAGAGAGGGCATCCCTGTCTTGTGCCAGTTTTCAAAGGGAATGCTTCCTGTTTTTGCCCATTCAGTATGATATTGGCTGTGGGTTTGTCATAGATAGCTCTTATTATTTTGAAATACGTCCCATCAATACCTAATTTATTGAGACTTTTTAGCATGAAGTGTTGTTGAATTTTGCCAAAGGCTTTTTCTGCATCTATTGAGATAATCCTGTGGTTTTTGTCTTTGGCTCTGTTTATATGATGGATTACATTTATTGATTTGTGTATATTGAACCAGCCTTTCTGTCTAGTTTTTATATGAAAATATTTCCTTTTCTACCATAGACTTCAAAGCGCTCTAAATATCCACTTGGAAATTCTACAAAAAGAGTGTTTAAAAACTGCTCTATTGAAAGGAAGGTTCATCCTTGTGAGTTGAATGCACACTTCACAAAGAAGTTTCTGAGAATTCTTTGGTCTAGTTTTTATATGAAGAAATCCCGTTTCCAACGAAGGACTCAAAGAGGTCCAAATATCCACTTGCAGATTCTGCAAAAAGAGTGTTACAAAACTGCTCTATGAAAAAGGAATGTTCAACTCCGTGAGTTGAATGCAAACATCCCAAAGTAGTTTCTGAGAATGCTTCTGTGTAATTTTTCTATGAAGATATTTCCTTTTCCACCGTAGGCATAAAAGCGCTCTAAATATCCACTTGAAAATTCTACAAAAAGAGTGTTTCACATCTGCTCTATCAAAAGATATGTATAACTCCTTGAGTTGAATACAAACATCCCAAAATAGTTTCTGAGAATGTTTCTGTGTAATTTTTCTATGAAGATATTCCGTTTTCTAACATAGGCCTCAAAGCGCTCTAATTATCCTCTTGCAAATTCTACACAAAGAGTGTTTCAAATCCTCTCTATCAAAAGGACCGTTGAACTCTGTGGGTTGAGTGCAGACATCACAAGAAGTTTCTGAGAATACCTCTGTCTACTTTTTAGGTGAAGATATTACCGTTTCCAAAGAAGACCTCAAAGCCAACCAAATATCCACTTGCAGACTTATAAACAGAGTGTTTCAAATCTGCTCTATCAAAAGGAATCTTCAACTCTGTGAGTTGAATGCACTCATCTCCAAGAAGTATACGAGAATGTTTCTTTCTAATTTTTATGTGAAGATAATTCCTTTTCCAACAAAGGCCTCAAAGGGAATAAAGTATCCACTTGCAGATTCTACAAAAATAGTGTTTCAAGACTGCTCTTTCAAAAGAAAATTTCACCTCTGTGAGTTGAATGCACACATCCCAAAGAAGGTTCTGAGAATGCTTCTGTCTGGTATTTATGTGAAGATAAACCGGTTTCCAATGAAGGCCTCAACGCGGTCTAAATATCCACTTGCAGATTCAACAACAACAACAAAAAAGTGATTCAAAACTTCTCTATGAAAGGAACGTTCAACTCTATGAGTTGAATGCAAACCTCACAAATTAGTTTCTGAGAACGATTCTGTGTAGTTTTTCTATGAAGGTATTTCCTTTTCTACCATAGGCCTCAAAGCGCTCTAAATATCCAGCTGGGAATTCGATAAAAAGCGTGTTTCAAAACTGCTCTATCGAAACGAAGGTTCAACTCTGTGAGTTGAATGCACACATCACAAAGAAGTTTCTGAGAATGCTTCTGTCTTGTTTTTATTTGAAGACATTTCCTTTTGTACCATAGGCCTCTAACTGCTCTAAATATCCACTTGGAAATTCTACAAGAAGAGTGTTTCAAAACTGCTCTATTGAAAGGAAGGTTCAACTCTGTGAATTGAATGCACACATCACAAAGAAGTTTCTGAGAATTCTTCTGTCTAGTTTTTATATGAAGAAATTCCCGTTTCCAATGAAGGCCTCAGAGATGTCCCAATATCCACTTGCAGATTCTACAAAAAGTGTTTCACAACTGCTCTATCAAAAGGAATGTTCAACTCTGTGAGTTAAATGCCAATATCACAAAGTAGTTTCTGAGAATCCTTCTGTGTAGTTTTTCTAAGAAGATATTTCCTTTCCTACCTTACGCCTCAAAACGATCTAAATATCCACTTGAAAATTCTACAAAGAGTGTTTCAAAACTGCGCCATCAAAAGAAAAGTTAAAATCTGTGAGTTGAATGCAAACATCACAAAGCATTTTCTCAGAATGCTTCTGTGTGGTTTTTGGGTGAAGGTAATTCCTTTTCTACCATAGGCCCCAAAACGCTCTAAATATCCACTTGCAAATTCTACAAAAAGAGTGTTTCAGAAGGTTGAACACTGTGCGTTGAGTGCAGACATCACAAGGTAGTTTCTGAAAATTCTTCTGTCTAGTTTTTAATTGAAGCAATTCCCGTTTCCAACGAAGGCCTCAAAGAGTTCCAAATATCCACTTGCATATTCTACAAAAACAGTGTTTCAAAACTGCTCTATCAAAAGACGCATTCAACTCTGTGAGTCGAATGCAAATTTCACAAAGTAGTTTCTGAGAATGCTTCTGTGTAGTTGTTTTTCTATGAAGATATTACCTTTGCTACCATAGGCCTCAAAGCGCTCTGATTGTCCACTTGCAAATTCAACAGAAAGAGTGTTTCAAAAGTGCTCTATCAAAAGGAAGTTGCAATTCTGTTAGATGAGTGCAGACATCACAAAGTAGTTTCTGAGAATACTTCTGTCTACTTTTTATGTGAGGATATTCCCGTTTCCAAAGAAGGCCTCAAAGCGCTCCAAATATCCACATGGAGATTCTACAAAAGAGTGATTGAAAACTGCTCTATCAAAAGGAAGGTTCGACTCCTTGATTTGAATGCACTCATCACAAAGAAGTTTATGAGAATGTTTCTTTCTAGTTTTTATGTGAAGATAATTCCTTTCCCAACATAGGCATCAAAGGCAATCAAACATCCACTTGCAAATTCTACAAAAAAGTGCTTCAAACTGCTCTATAAAGAGGAATGTTCAACTCTATGAGTTGAATGCAAACATCACAAAATACTTTGTGAGAATGCTTCTGTGTAGTTTTCTATGAAGATATTTCCTTTTCTACCATAGGCTTCAAAGCGCACCAAACATCCACTTGGAAATTCTACAAGAGTGTTTCAAAACTGCTCTATGAAAAGGAAGGTTCACAACTGTGAGTTTAATGCACACATTACAAAAAGTTTCTGAGATTTCTTCTGCCTAGTTTTTAAGTGAAGAAATTCCCGTTTCCAAAGAATGCCTCAAGGAGGTCCAAATATCCACTTACTGATTCAACAAAAAGGGTGTTTCAAAACTGCTTTATCAGGAGGAATGTTCAATTCTGTGAGTTGAATGCAAACATCACAAAGCAGTTTCTGAGAATGCTTCCATGTTGTTTTTCTATGACGATATTTCCTTTTCTACAATAGACTTCAAAAAGCTCTAAATATCCACTTGGAAATTCTACAAAAAGTGTGTTTCAAAACTGCTCCATCAAAAGAAAGGTTAAACTCTGTGTGTTGAACGCACACATCACAAAGTAGTTTAGGAGAATGCTTCTGTCTAGTTTTTATGTGAAGATATATCCTTTTGTAAAATAGGCCTCAAAACCCTCTAAATACACACTTGCAAATTCTACAAAAAGAGTGTTTCAAAACTGTTCCTTCAAAAGAAAGTTAAAATCTGTGAGTTTAATGCACACATCACAAACAAGTTTCTGAGAATCATTGTGTCTACTATTTATATGAAGATATTTCCTTTTCTACCATAGGCCTCAAACCCCTTAAATATCCACTTGGAAATTCTACAAAAAGACTGTTTCAAAACTGCTCTATTGAAAGGAAGGTTCAACTCTGTGAGTGGAATGCACACATCACAAAGAAGTTTCTGAGAATTCTTCTGTCTAGTTTTTATATGAAGAAATCCCGTTTCTGAAGAAGGCCTCAAAGAGGCCCAAATATCCACTTGCAGATCCTACAAAAAGAGTGTTACAAAACGGGTCTATCAAAAGGAATGTTCAACTCTGTGAATTGAATGCAAACATCACAAAGCAGTTTCTGAGAATGCTTCAGTGTAGCTTTTCTATGACGGTATTTCCTTCTCTACCATAGGGTTCAAAGTGCTCTAAATATCCAGTTAGAAATTTCCTTTTCCAACATAAGCCTCAAAGGGAGGCACATATCCACTTGCAGATTCTACAAAAAGAGTGTTTCAAACTGCTCTATCAACAGAAAAGTTCAATTCTGTATGCTGAATGCACACATCACAAAGAAGTTTCTGGGAATCCTTCTGTCTGGTTTTTATGTGAAGATATACCCATTTCCAATGAAGGCCTCAAAGCGGTCCAAATGTCCACTTGCAGATTCCACAAAAAGGGTGTTTCAAAACAGCTCTATCAAATGATTGTTCAACTCCGTGAGTTGAATGCAAACATCACAAATGTAGTTTCTGAGAATGCTTCTGTCTAGTTTTTTGGGAAGATATTTCCGTTTCTACTATAGGCCCCAAAGATCTCTAAATATACACTTGCAAATTCTACAAAAAGAGCGTTTCAAAACTGCTCTATCAAAAGGAAGGTTAAACTCTGTGAGTTCAATGCACACATCTCAAAGTAGTTTCTGAGAAAGTTTCTGTCTAGTTTTTATATGAAGATATTTGCTTTTCTACCATAGGCCTCAAAGCCCTCTAAATTCAAACTTGCAAATTCTACAAAAAGAGTGTTTCATAACTGCTCTATCAAAAGAAATGTTCAAATCTGTGAGTTGAACGCACACATCACAAAGTTGTTTCTGAGAATGGTTCTGTCTAGTTTTTAAATGAAGTTTTTTCCTTTTCTACCAGAAGCATCAAAGCACTATAAATATCCACTTGGAAGTACTTCAAAAAGAGTGTTTCAATACTGCTCTATCGAAAATAATATTCAACTCTGTGAGTTGAATACAGTCATCACAAAGAAATTTCTGAGAATTCTACTGTCTAGTATTTGCATGAAGAAATCCCATTTCCAATGAAGGCCTCAAAGAGGTCCAAATATCCACTTGCAGATACTACAAAAAGAGTGTTTGAAAACTGCTCTATCAAGAGGAATGTTCAATTCTGTGAGTTGAATGCAAACATCACAAAGTAGTTTATGAGAATGCTTCTGTCTAGTTTTTATGTGAAGATATTTTCTTTTCTACCATAGGCCTCAAAGCACTCTAAATGTACACTTGCAAATTCTGAAAAAAGAGTGTTTCAAAACTGCTCCTTCAAAACAAAGGTTAAAATCTGTGAGTTGAATGCACACATCACAATCTAGTTTCTAAGAATCATTGTGTCTAGTTTTTATATGAGGACTCAAAGCACACTAAATATCCACTTGGAAGTTCTACAAAAAGAGGATTTCAAAACTGCTCTATCGAAAGGAAGGTTAAATTCTGTGAGTTGAATGCACATATCACAAAGAAGTTTCTGATAATTTTTCTGTCTAGTTTTTACATGAAGAAATCCCGTTTCCAACGAAGGCCTCAAAGAGGTCCAAATATCCACTTACATATTCTACAAAAAGAGTGTAACAAAACTGCTCTATCAAAAGGAATGTCCAACAATGTGAGTTGAATGCAAGCATCACAAAGTAGTTTCTGAGAATGCTTCTGTGTAGTTTTTCTATAAAGATGTGTCCTTCTCTACTATCGGCTTCAAAGCGCTGAAAATATCCCTTTGGAAACTCTACAACAAGAGTGTTTCAAAACTGCTCTATCAAAAAGGAAGGTTCAAATCTGTGAGTTGAGTGCAGACATCACAAGGAAGTTTCTGAGAATACTTCTGTCTACTTTTTATGTGAAGATATTCCCGTTTCCAAAGAAGGCCTAAAAAACCTCCAAATTTCCAATTTCAGACATTTTAAAGAGTGTTTCAAAACTGTTCTGTCAAAAGGAAGGTTCAACTCTGTGAGTTGAATGCACTCATCACAAATAAGTTTATAAGAATGTTTCTTTCTAGTTTTTATGTGAAGATAATTCGTTTTCCAACATGGGCCCCAAAGGGAATGAATTATCCACTTGAAGATTCTACAAAAAGAGTGTTTAAAAACTGCTCTGTCAAAAGAAAAGTTCACTTCTGTGCGTTGAATGCACACATAGCAAAGAAGTTTCTGAGAATTCTTCTCTCTGGTTTTTATGTGAAGATAATCCTGTTTCCTACAAAGGCCTCAAAGTTGTCCAAATATCCACTTGCTGATTCCACAAAAAGAGTTTTTCAAAACTGCTCTATCAAAAGGAATGTTCATCTCCGTGAGTTGAATGCAAACATCACAAAGAAGTTTCTGAGAATGCTTCCTTCAAGTTTTTATATGAAGGTATTTTCTTTTCTACATTGGGCCTCAAAGCACTCCAAATATCCACTTGAGGATTCTACAAAAAGAGTGTTTCAAAACTGCTCTATCAAAAGAAAGATTCAACTCTGTGAGTTCAACGCACACATGACAAAGAAATTTCTGAGAATGCTTCTGTCTGGTTTTTCTATGAAGATAATTCCTTTACTAACATAGGCCACAAAGCGCTCCAATTATCCACTGGCAAATACTTCAAAAAGAGTGTTTCATAACTGCTCTATCAAATGAAAGGTTCAACTCTGTGAGTTGAATGAGCACATCACAAAATAGTTTCTGATAATGATTCTGACTACTTTTTATATGAAGATATTTCCTTTTCTACCATAAGCCTCCAAGTGCTCTAAATATCCACCTGGAAATTCTAGAAAAAGTCTGTTTCAAATCTGCTCCATCAAAAGAAAGTTTCAAGTCTGTGAGTTGAATGGACACATCACAAAGTTTTTGAGAAATCTTCTGTCTAGTTGTTATATGAAGAAATCCCTTTTCCAAAGAAGGACTCAAAGACGTCCAAATATCCACTTGCAGAGTCTACAAAAACAGTGTTTCAAAACACATCTATCAAGAGGAATGTTCAACACTGTGAGTTGAATGCAAACATCGCAAAGTAGTTTTTGAGAATGCTTCTGTGTAGTTTGTTATGAAGATATTTCCTTTTCTATCACAGGCTTCAAAGCGCTCTAAATATCCACTTGGAAATTCTACAAAAAAAGTTTTGCAAAAGTGCTCCATCAAAAGAAAGATTAAATTCTGTGAGTTCAACGCACACATCATAATGTGGTTTCTGAGAATGCTTCTGTCTAGTTTTTATGTGAAGATATTTCCTTTTCTACCATAGGCCTCCAAGCACTCTAAATACACACTTGCAAATTCTACAAAAAGAGTGTTTTGTAACTGCTCTATCAAAAGAAAAGCTAAACTCTGTGAATTGAATGTACACATCACAAATCGTTTCTGAGAAAACTTCTGTCTAGTTTTTATATGAAGACATTTCCTTTTCTAACATAGCCTCCAAGTGCTCTAAATATCCACTTGGAAATTCTACAAAAAGAGTGTTTCCAAACTGCTCTATCGAAAGGAAGGTTCACCTCTGTGAATTGAATGCACTCATCACAAAGAAGTTTCTGTGTATTCTTCTGTCTAGTTTTCATATGAAGAAATTACTGTTTCCAAGGAAGGCTTCAGAGAGGTCCAAATATCCACTTACAGATTCTACAAAAAGAGTGTTACAAATCCACTCTATCAAAAGGAATGTTCAACTCTGTGAGTTGAATGCAAACATCACAAAGTAGCTTCTGAGAATGCTTCTGTGTAGTTTTTCTATGAAGATATTTCCTTTTCTATCATAGGCTTCAAAGCGCTCTAAATATCCACTTGAAAATTCTACTAAATGAGTGTTTCAAAACTGCGTCATCAAAAGAAAGGATAAACTCTGTGAGTGCAACACACACATCACAAAGTAGTTTCTGAGAATGATTTTGTCTAGTTTTTATGTAAAGATATTTCCTTTTCTACCATGGGCCCAGAATCCCTCTATATACACACTTGCTAATTCTAAAAAAAAAAAGAGTGTTTCATAACTGCTCTATCAAAAGAAAGGTTAAACTATGAAAGTTGAATGCACACATCACAATGTAGTTTCTGACAATGGTTCTGTCTAGTTTTTATATGAAGATATTTCCTTTTGTACCTTACGGCTCCAAGCGCTCCGAATATCCAGTTGGAAATTTTACAAAAAGAGTGTTTGAAAACTGCTCTATCAAAATGAAAGTTCAACTCTGTGAGTTGAATGCACACAACACAAAGACGTTTCTGAGAATTCTTCTGTCCAGTATTTAAATGAAGAAATCCCGTTTCAAACGAAGACCTCAAAGAGGTCAAAATAACCAGTTGCAGATCCTACAAAAAGAGTGTTTCAGAACTGCTCTATCAAGAGGAATGTTCAACTCTGTTAATTGAATGCAAAACTCACAAAGTAGTTTCTGAGAATTCTTCTGTCTAGTTTTTATGTGAAGATATTTCCTTTCCTACCATAGGCCTCAAAACACTCTAAATATACACTTGCAAATTCTACAAAAAGAGTGTTTCAAAACTTCCCCATCAAAAGAAATGTTAAACTGGGTGAGTTGAACGCACACATCACAAACTAGTTTCTGAGCATGATTCTGTCTAGTCTTTATGTGAAGATATTTCCTTTTCTACCATAGGCCTCCAAGCGCTCTAAAAATCCAATTGGAAATTCTACAAAAAGAGTGTTTCAAAACTTGTGTATCAAAAGGAACGTTCAACTCTGTGAGTTGAATGCTCACATCACAAAGAAGTTTCTGAGAATTCTTCTGTCTCATATTTAAATGAAGAAATCCGGTTTCCAACGAAGGTCTCAAAGAGTTCCAAATATCCACTTGCAGATACTACAAAAAGAGTGTTTCAAAACGGCTCTATCAAGGGGAATGTTCAACTCTCTTAGTTGAATGCAAACACCACAACGCAGTTTCTGAGGGTGCTTCTGTCTAGTTTTTATGTGAAGAAATTTCCTTTTCTACTATAGGCCTCAAAGCGCTCTAAATATACACTTGCAAATTCTACAAAAAGAGTGTTTCAAAACTGCACCATGAAAAGAAATGTTAAACTCTGAGAGTTGAACTCACACATCACAAAGTACTTTCTGAGAATGATTCTGTCAAGTTTTTATATGAAGATATTTCCTTTTAGACCAAAGGCCTCAAAGTGCACAAGATATCCACTTGGAAATTCTACAAAAAGATTGTTTCAAAACTGCTCTATCGAAAGGATGGTTAAACTCTGTGAGTTGAATGCACACATCACAAAGAATTTTCTGAAAATTCTTCTGTCAAGTATTTAAATGAGGAGATCTCGCTTCCAATGAAGGCCTGAAAGAGGTCCAAGTATCCACTTGCGGATTCTACAAAAAGAGTGTTTCAACACTGCTCTATCAAGAGCAATGTTCAACTCTGTGAGTTGAATGCAATCATTACAAAGTAGTTTCTGAGAATGCTTCTGTCTACTTTTTACGTGAAGATATTTCCTTTTCTACCATATGCCTCAAAGTGCTCTAAATATACACTTGCAAATTCTACAAAAAGTGTGTCTTAAAACTGCTCCATCAAAAGAAAGGTTAAACTCTGTGAGTTGAAAGCACACATCACAAAGTAGTTTCTGAATATGGTTCTGTCTAGTTTTCATATGAAGATATTTCCTTTTGTACCATAGGCCTCAAAGCCCTCTAAATACTCACTTTCAAATTCCACAAAAAAGATTGTTTCAAAACTGCTCTATCAAAAGAAGTGTTAAACTCTGTGAATTGAATGCAAATATCACAAAGCAGTTTCTGAGAATGATTCTGTCTAGTGGTTATATGAAGATATTTCCTTTTCTACAATAGGCCGCAAATAGCTCTAAATATCCACTTGGAAATTCTACAAAAAGAGTGTTTCAAAACTGGTTATCGAAAGGAAGGTTCAACATTGTGAACTGAATGCACACATCACAAAGAAGTTTCTGAGAATCCTTCTGTCTAGTTTTCATAGGAAGAAATCCCGTTTCCAATGAAGGTCTCAAAGAGTTCCAAATATCCACTTGCAGATTCTATGAAAAGGGTGTTACAAAATTGCTCTATCAAAAAGAATGTTCAATTCTGTGAGTTGAATGCAAACATCACAAAGTAGTTTCTGAGAATGCTTCTGTGTACTTTTTCTATGAAGATATTTCCTTCTATACCATAGGCTTCAAAGCGCTCTAAATATCCAGTTGGAAATTCTACAAAAACAGTGTTTCAGAACTGCTCCATCAAAAGGAAGGTTCAATTCTGAGTTGAGTGTACACATCACAAAAAATTTCTGAGATTTCTTCTCTCTAGTTTTTAAGTGAAGAATTTTTCGTTTCCAACGAAGGCCTCATAGAGGTCCAAATATCCACTTGCAGATCCTACAAAAAGAGTGTTTCAAAACTGCTCTATCAAAAGGAATGTTCAAGTCTTTGAGTTGAATGCAAACATCACAAAGCAGTTTCTGAGAATGCTTCTGTGTAGTTTTTCTATGAATATATTTCCTTTTCTACCATAGGCCACAAAACACTCTAAATATCTACTTGCAAATTCTACAAAAAGACTATTTCAAAACTGCTCTATCAGAGGGAAGGTTTATCTCTGTGAGTTGAGTGCAGACATTACAAAGAAGTTTCAGAGAATACTTATGTCTACTTTATATGTGAAGATATTCCCGTTTCCAATAAAGACCTCAAAGACCTCCAATTATCCACTTGCAAACTTTACATACAGAGCATTTCAAAACGGCTGTCAAAAGAAAGATTCAACTCTGTGAGTTGAATTCACTCATCACAAAGAAGTTTATGAGAACGATTCATTCTAGTTTTTATGTGAAGTTAACTCCTTTCCCAACATGGGCCTCAAAGGGAATAAAATATCCACTTGAAGATCCTACAAAAAGAGTGTTTGTAAACTGCTATATCAAAAGAAATATTCACCTCTGTGAGTTGAATACACATATCACAAAGAAGTTTCTGAGAATGCTTCTCTCTGGATTTTATGTGAAGATAATCCCGTTTCCAACGAAGGCCTCAAATCGGTCGAAATATCCACTTGCAGATTCCACAAAAAGACTGTTTCAAAACTTCTCTATACAAAGGAATGTTCAACTCTGTTAGCTGAATGGAAACATCACAAAATAGTTTCTTAGAATGCTTCTGTCTACTTTTTTTATTAAAATACTTCCTATTCGACACAAAGCTCTCTAAATATTCATTTGCAAATTCTACAAAAAGAGTGTTTCAAAACTGCTCTATCCAAAGGAAGTTTCAACTCTGTGAGTTGAATGCAGACCTCACAAAGAAGTTTCTGAGAATACTTCTGTCTACTTTCTATGTGAAGTTATACCCGTTTCAAAAGTAGGCCTCAAAGCACTCCAAAGATCCACTTGCAGATTCTACAAAAAGATTGTTTCAAAAATGCTCTATCAAAAGGAAGGTTCAACTCTGTTAGTTGAAGGCACACATCAAAAATAAGTTTCTGAGAATGATTCTTTCTTGTTTTTATATGAAGATATTTCCTTTTCCAACATAAGCCTCAAAGGGAGGCACATATCCACTTGGAGATTCTACAAAAAGAGTGTTTCAAAACTGCTCTATCAACAGAAAAGTTTAACTCTGTAAGTTGAATGCACACATCACAAAGCAGTTTCTGGGAATCCTTCTGTCTGATTTTTATTTGAAGATATACCCATTTCCAATGAAGTCCTCAAAGCGGTCCAAATGTCCACTTGCAGATTACACAAAAAGGGTGTTTCAAAACTGCTCTATCAAATGATTGTTCAACCCGGTGAGTTGAATGCAAACATCACAAAGTGGTTTCTGAGAATGCTTCTGTCTAGTTTTTTGGGATGATATTTCCTTTTCTACCATAGACCCAAAGATCTCTAAATATGCACTTGCAAATTCTACAAAAAGTGTGTTTCAAAACTTCTCTATCAAAAGAAAGGTTAAACTCTGTGAGTTGAATGCAAACATCACAAAGTAGTTTAGGAGAATGCTTCTGTCTAGTTTTTATGTGAAGATATTTCCTTTTGTACCATAGGCCTCAAAGCCTTCTAAATCCACACTTGCAAACTTTGGAAAAGAGTGTTTCAAAACTGCTCCATCAAAAGAAAGGTTAAAATCTGTGAGTTGAACACACACATCACAAACTAGTTTCTGAGAATCATTGTGTCTAGTTTTTATATGAAGATATTTCCTTTTCTACCATAGGCCTCAAACCCCTTAAATATCCACTTAGAATTTCTACAAAAAGAGTGTTTCAAAACTGCTCTATTGAAAGGAAGTTTCAACTCTGTGATTTGAATGCACACATCACAAAGAAATTTCTAAGAATTCTTCTGTCTAGTTTTTATATGAAGGAATCCCATTTCCTACGAAGGCCTCAAAGAGGCCAAAATGTCCAATTGCAGATTCTACAAAAAGAGTGTTACAAAACTGGTCTATCAAAAGGAAAGTTCAACTCTGTGAGTTGAATGCAAACATCAAAAAGTAGTTTCTGAGAATGCTTCTGTGTAGCTTTTCTATGAAGATATTTCCTTCTCTACCATAGGCTTCAAAGTGCTCTAAATATCCAGTTGGGAATTCTACAAAAAGAGTGTTTTAAAACTGCTCTATCAAAAGGAAGGTTCAACTCTGTGAGCTGAATGCACACATCACAAATAGTTTCTGAGTTTCTTCTGTCTAGTTTTTTTTTTTTTTTTTTTTTGAGACGGATTCTCGCTCTGTCACCCAGGCCGGACTGCGGACTACAGTGGTGCAATCTCGGCTCACTGCAAGCTCCGCTTCCCGGGTTCACGCCATTCTCCTGCCTCAGCCTCCCGAGTAGCTGGGACTACAGGCGCCCGCCACCGCGCCCGGCTAATTTTTTGTATTTTTAGTAGAGACGGGGTTTCACCTTGTTAGCCAGGATGGTCTCGATCTCCTGACCTCATGATCCACCCGCCTCGGCCTCCCAAAGTGCTGGGATTACAGGCTTGAGCCACCGTTCCCGGCCCTGTCTAGTTTTTAAGTGAAGAATTTCCCGTATCCAACGAAGACCTCGTAGAGGTCCAAATATTCACTTGCAGATCCTACAAAAAGAATGTTTCAAAACTGCTCTATCAAAAGGAATATTCAACTCTGTGAGTTGAATGCAAACATCACAAAGCAGTTTCTGAGCATGCTTCCGTGTAGTTTTTCTATGAATATATTTCCTTTTCTACCATAGGCCCCAAAACGCTCTATATCTCCACTTGCAAACTCTACAAAAAGAGTGTTTCAAAACTGCTCTATCAAAGGGAAGGTTGATCTCTGTGAGTTGAGTGCAGACATCACAAAGAAGTTTCAGAGAATACTTATGTCTACTTTTTATGGGAAGATATTCCCCTTTCCAAAGAAGGCCTCAAAGCACTACAAATGTCCACTTGCAAACGTTACAAACAGAGCGTTTCAAAACTGCTGTGTCAAAAGAAAGGTTCAAGTCTGTGAGTTGAATTCACTTATCTATCTCAAAGAAGTTTATGAGAATGTATCATTCTAATTTTTATGTGAAGATAACTCCTTTTCCAACATGGGCCTCAAAGGGAATAAAATATCCACTTGAAGATTCTACAAAAAGAGTGTTAGAAAACTGCTATATCAAAAGAAATATTCACCTCTGTGAGTTGAATGCACACATCGCAAAGAAGTTTCTGAGAATGCTTCTCTCTGGTTTTTATGTGAAGATAATCCCGTTTCCAACCAAGGACTCAAAGCGGTCTAAATGTCCACTTGCAGATTCCACAAAAAGAGTGTTTCAAAACTTCTCTATCAAAAGGAATGTTCAACTCTGTTAGTTGAATGGAAACATCACAAAGTAGTTTCTTAGAATGCTTCTGTCTACTTTTTTATGAAAATACTTCCTATTCTACCATAGGACATGCAGCACTCTAAATATCCACTTGGAAATTCTACAAAATGAGTGTACAAAACTGCTCTATCCAAAGGCAGGTTCAGCTCAGTGAGTTGAATGCAGACATCACAAAGAAGTTTCTGAGAATACTTCTGTCTACTTTCTCTGTGAAAATATACCCGTTTCAAAAGTAGGCCTCAAAGCCCTCCAAAAATCCACTTGCAGATTCTACAAAAAGTGTGTTTCAAAAATGCTCTATCAAAAGGAAGGTTCAACTCTGTGAGTTGAAGTCACACATCAAAAAGTAGTTTCTGAGAATGATTCCTTCTACTTTCTATGTGAAGATATTTCCTTTTCCAAAATAAGCCTCAAAGGGAGGCACATATCCACTAGCAAATTCTACAGAAAGAGTGTTTCAAAACTGCCCTATCAAAAGAAAAGTTAAAATCTGTAAGTTGAATGCACACATCACTAAGAAGTTTCTGGGAATCCTTCTGTCTGATTTTTATGTGAAGATATGCCCGTTTTCAACGAAGGCCTCACAGCGGTCCAAATGTCCGCTTGCAGAATCTACAAAAAGGGTGATTCAAAACTGCTCTATCAAATGATTGTTCAGCTCTGTGAGTTGAATGCAAACATCACAAATTAGCTTCTGAGAATGCTTCACTCTACTTTTTATGTGAAGATATTTCACTTTCTGCCACAGGCTACAAAGCGCCCTAAATATACACTTGCAAATCATACAAGAAGAGTGTTTCAAAACTTCTCCATTCAAAAGAAAGGTTAAACTCTGTGAATTCAATGCACACATCACAAACTGGTTTCTGAGAATGCTCCTGTGTTGTTTTTCTATGAAGATAGTTCCTTTTCTAACATAGGCTTCAAAGGGCACTAAATATCCACTTGGAAATTCTACAAAAAAAGTGTTTCAAAACTGTTCTATTGAAAAGAAGGTTAAACTCTGTGATTTGAACGCACACATCACAGAGTAGTTTCTGAGAATTATTCTGTCTAGTGTTTATATGTAGATAATTTCTTATCTACCAAAGGCCTCAAACCACTCTAAATATCCACTTGGAAATTCCTCAAAAAGAGTGTTTCAAAACTGCTCTATTGGAAGGAAGATTCAACTCTGTGAATTGAATGCATAGAACACAAAGATGTTTCTGAGAATTCTTCTGTCTAGCTTTCATAAGAAGAAAGCCCGTTTCCAATGAAGGCCTCAAAGAGCTTCAAATATCCACTTGCAGATTCCACAAAAAGAGTGTTTCAAAACTGCTCCATCAAGAGGAATGTTCAACTCTGTGAGTTGAATGCAAACATCACACAGTAGTTTCTGAGAATGCTTCTGTTTAGTTTTTATGTGAAGATATTTCCTTTTCTACCATAGGCTTCAACGTGCTCCAAATATCCACTTCAAAATTCTACAAAAAGAGGGTTTCAAAATTTCTCCATGAAAAGAAAGGTTAAACTCTGTGAGTTGAACGCACACATCACAAAGTAGTTTCTGAGAATGATTCTGTCTGGTTTTTATATGAAGATATTTCGTTTTTAACCATAGACCTCAAAGCGCTCTAAATATCCACTTGGAAATTATGTAAAAAGAGTTTCAAAACTGCTCTATCGAAAGGAAGGTTCAACTCTGTGTACTGAATGCACACACCACAAAGAGGTTTCTGTGAATTCTTCTATCTCGTTTTTAAATGAAGAAATCCCGTTTCCAAGGAAGGCCTCAAATAGGTCAAAATATCCACTTGCATATCCTATAAAAAGAGTGTTTCAAAAGTGCTCTACCAAAAGGAATGTTCAACTCTGTGAGTTGAATGCAAACATCAACAAGTAGTTTCTGAGAATGCCTCTGTGTAGTTTTAATATGAAGATATTTCCTTTTCTAGCATAGGCCCCAAAACGCTCTATATATCCACTCGCAAATTCTACAAAAAGAGTGTTTCAAAACTGCACTATCAAAGGGAAGGTTCAACCCTGTTAGTTGAGTGAAGACATCACAAAGGAGTTTCTGAGAATACTTCTGTTTACTTTTATGTGAAGATATTCCCCTTTACAAAGAAGGCATTAAAGCATTCCAAATATCCACTTGCAGACTTTACAGAGTGTTTCAAAACTGCTTTAACAAAAGAAAGGTTAAACTCAGTGAGTTTAAAGCACACATCACAAACTAGTTTCTGAGAAAGGTTCTGTCTAATTTCTATGTGAAGACATTCCCTTTTTTACCATAGGCTTCAAGGCGCCCTAAATATTCACTTGAAAATACTTCAAAAATAGTGTTTCAAAACTGCTGTATTGAAAGGAAGTTTCAACTCTGTGAGTTGAATGCACACATCACAAAGAAGTTTCTGGGAATTCTTCTGTCTACTTTTTATAGGAAGAAATCCCGTTTCCAAAGAAGGCCTCTAAGAAGTCCTAATAACCACTTGCAGATTCTACAAAAAGAGTGTTACAAAACTGCTCTATCAAAAGGAATGTTCAACTCTGTGAGTTGAATGCAAACAACACAAAGTAGTATCTCAGAATGCTTCTGTGTAGTTTTTCTATGAAGATATTTCCTTTTCTACCACAGGCTTCAGAGCGCACTAAATATCCACTTGGAAATTCTACAAAAAGAGTGTTTCAAAACTGCTCTATCAAAAGAAAGATTCAACTCTGTGAGTTGAATGTCCATGTCACAGAAAGTTTCAGAGATTTCTTCTGTCTGTTTTTCAAGTGAAGAAATTCCCGTTTCCAACGAAGGCCTCAAAGAGTTCCAAATATCCACTTGCAGATTCTACAAAGGAGAGTTTCAAAACTGCTCCATCAAGAGGAATGTCCAACTCTGTCAGTTGAATGCAAACATCACACAGTAGTTTCTGAGAATGCTTCTGCCTCGTTGGTATGTGAAGATATTTCATTTTCTACCATAGGCCTCAAAGCGCTCTGAATATACACTTGCAAATTCTACAAAAGTGGTGTTTCAAAACTGCTCTATCAAAAGAAATGTTAAACTATGTGAGTTGAATGCACACATCACAAAGTAGTTTCTGAGAATGATTCTGTCTAGTTTTTATATGAAGATATTTCCTTTTCTACCATAGGTCTCAAACAGCTCTAAATATCCACTTGGAAATTCTACAAAAAGAGTGATTCAAAACTGCTCTATTGAAAGAAAAGTTCAACTCTGTGAATTGAATGCACACATCATAAACAAGTTTCTGAGAATTCTTCTGTCTAGTTTTTATATGAAGAAAGTCCCGTTTCCAACGAAGGCCTCAAAGAGGTCCAAATATCCACTTGTAGAGTCTACAAAAAGAGTGTTACAAAACTACTCTATCGAAAGTAATGTACAACTCTGTGAGTTTAATGCAAACATCACAAAGTAGTTTCTGAGAATGCCTCTGTGTATTTTTAATATGAAGATATTTCCTTTTCTACCATAGGCCAAAAAACGCTCTTAATATCCACTCGCAAACTCTACAAAATGAGTGTTTCAAAACTGCTCTATCAAAAGGAAGGTTAAACTCTGTTAGTTGAGTGCAGACAACACAAAGAAGTTTCTGAGAATACTTCTGTTTACTTTTTATGTGAAGATATTCCTGATTCCAAAGAAGGCTTTAAAGTGCTCCAAATATACACTTGCAGACTTTACAAACATAGTGTTTCAAAACTGCTCTACCAAAAGAAAGGTTAAATTCAGTGAATTGAAAGCACAAATCACAATCTAGTTTCTGAGAAAGTTTCTGTATAATTTTTATATGAAGATATTTCCTTTTCTACCATAGGCTTCAAGGCGATCTAAATATCCACTTGGAAATTCTGCAAAAAGAGTTTTTCAAAACTGCTCTATCGAAAGGAAGTTTCAACTCTGTGAGTTGAATGCACACATCAAAAAGAAGTTTCTGAGAGTCTTTCTGTCTAGTTTTTATATGAAGAAATCCAGTTTCCAACGAAGGTCTCAAAGAGGTCTAAATATCCACTTGCAGATTCTAGAAAAAAAATGTTTCAAAACTGCTACACCAAGGGGAATGTTCAACACAGTGCATTGAATGCAAACATCCCAATGTAGTTTCTGAGAATGTTTCTAATTTTTATGTGAAGATATTTCGTTTTCTAAAATAGGCGTCTAAGTGCTGTCAATATACAATTGCAAATTCTACAAAAGCGGTGTTTCAAAACTGCTCTATCAAAAGAAATGTTAAACTCTGTGAGTTGAACGCAGAGATCACAAAGTAGTTTCTGAGAATGATTCTGTCTAGTTGTTATATGAAGATATATCCTTTTCTACCATAGGCCTTAAACCACTCTAAATATCCAGTTGAAAATACAATAAAAAGAGTGTTTCAAAACTGCTCTATCGAAAGGAAGGTTCAACTCTGTGAATTGAACATACACATCACGAAGAAGTTTCTGAGAATTTTTCTGTCTACTTTTTAAGTGAAGAAATTCCCGTTTCCAACGAAGGCCACAAAGAGGTCAAAATATCCACTTGCAGATACTACAAAAAGAGTGTTTCAAAACTGCCCCATCCAAAGAAAGGTTAAACTCTTTGAGTTGAACGCACACATCATGAAGTAGTTTCTGAGAATGATTCTGTGTAGTTTCCATATGAAGATATTTCCTTTTCTAGGTTAGGCCTTAAACCACTCTAAATATTCACTTGGAAATTCTACAAAAAGAGTGTTTCAAAACTACTCTATTGAAAGCAAAATTCAACTCTGTGAAATAAATGCACACATCACAAAGAAGTTTCTGAGAAATCTTCTTTCTAATTTTCAAATGAAGAAATCCTGTTTCCAACGAAGGTCACAAAGAGGTCAAATATCCACTAGCAGAGCCTACAAAAAGACTGTTTCAAAACTGCTCTCTCAAGAGGAATGTTCAACTCTGTGAGTTGAATGCAAGCATCACAATGTGGTCTCTGAGAATGCTTCTGTCTAGTTTTTATGTGAAGAGATATCCTTTTCTACCACAGGTCTTAAAGAGCAATAAATATACACTTGCAAATTCTACAAAAAAAGTGTTTCAAATCAGACCCATCAAAAGAAAGTTAAGCTCTGTGAGTTGCACGCACACATCACAAAATTGTTTCTGAGAATGATTATCTCTATTTTTTATATGAAGACATTTCATTTTCTAACATAGGCCTCAAAGCGCACTAAATATCCACTTGGAAATTCTAGAAAAAGAGTGTTTAAAAACTTCTATATAGAAAGGAATGTTCAACTCTTTGAGTAGAATGCACACATCACAAAGAAGTTTCGGAGAATTCTTCTGTTTATCTTTCATATGAAGGAATACCGTTTACAATGAAGGCATCAAAGACGTCCAAATATCCACTTGCAGATTCTACAAAAACAGTTTTTCAAAACTACTGTATCAAAAGAATGGTTCAACTCTCTTAGTTGAGTACACACATCACAAACGTGATTCTCAGAATGCTTCTGTCTAGTTTCTATGGGTAATTTCCTTTTTCAGCATAGGCCTGAAAGCGCTCCAATTGCCCGCTTCCAGACACTATAAAAAGAGGGTTTCAAACCTACTCTATGAAAGGGAATGTTCAACTCTGAGAGCTGGATGCAAACATCACAAAGAAGTTTCTGAGAATACTGCTGTCTACTTTTTATATGTAATCCCGTTTCCAACGAAATCCTCAAATCTATCCATATATCCACTTGCAGATTCCAAAAGAAGAGTGTCTCAAAACTGCTCTATCAATAGAAAGGTTCAGCACAGTTAGTTGAGTAGATACAGCATAAACAAGTTTCTGAGATTGCTTCTATCTCGCATTCATGGGAAGATATTTTCTTTTTCCAGATAGGCTACAAAGCCCTCCAAATATCCACTTCGAGATACTACAAATGGAGTGCTTCACAACTGCTCTATGTGAGGGAATGTTCAATTCTGTGACTTGAATGCAGACACCACAAAGAAGTTTCTGAATGCTGCTGTCTACTTTTTATATGTAATCCCGTTTACAACGAAATCCTCAAAGCCATCCAAATATCCACATGCAGAATCTTCAAAAAGAGTGTTCCAGAAGTACTGCATGAAAAGAAAGGTTCAAGTCCGTTAGTTGAGGACACACATCACAAAAAAGTTTCTGAGAATGCTTCTGTCTTGTTTTTATGGGAAGATATTTCCTTTTTCACCACAGGTAAGAAAGCGCTCCAAATGTCCACTTCCAGATACTACAAAAAGAGTGTTTCAAACCTGCTCTATGAATGGGAATGTTCCACTCTGTGACTTGAATGGAAATATGGCAAAGTATTTTCTGAGTATGCTGCTGTGTACGTTTTATATTGCATCCCGTTTCCAACGAAATCCTCAAAGCGATCCAAATATCCACTTGCAGATTCCAAAAAAAGACTGTTTCAAACTGCTCTGTCAGTACAAAGGTTCAACACTGTTAGTTGATTAGATGCATCATAAACAAGTTCCTGAGATAGCTTCTATGTCGTTTTTATGGGAAGCTATTTCCTTTTTCACCATAGGCCTGAAAGCGCTCCAAATGTCCACTTCCAGATACTACAAAAAGAGTGTTTCCAACCTGCTCTATGAAACGGAAGGTTCAACTCTGTGACTTGATTGCAAACATCACGAAGATGTTTCTGAGGATGTTTCTGTCTAGATTTTCTTTGAAGACATTACCGTTTCCAACGAAATCCTCAAAGCTAGCCAAATATCCACCTGCAGATTCTACAAAAAGAGTGTTTCAAAAGTGCTCTGTCCAAACAAAGGTTCAATTCTGACAGTTGAGTGCATACATCACAAACGTGATTCTGCGAATGCTTCTGTCTAGTTTTTGTCGGAAGATATTTCCTTTTTCAGCATAGGCCCCAAGGAGCTCAAAATGTCCACTTCCAGATAGTACGAGAAGATTGTTTCAAACCTGCTCTGTGAAAGGGAATGTTCAACTCTGTGACTTGAATGTAAACATCCCTAAGATGTTTCTTAGAATGCTTCTTTCTAGATTTTATATGAAGATATTCCCGTTTCCAACGAAATCCTCAAAGCTTTCCAAATATCCACTTCCAGATTCTATAAAAAGAATGTTTCAAAACAGTTCTGTCAAAAGAAAGGTTCAACTCTGTTAGTGGAGAACACACATCACAATCAAGGTTCTGAGAATGCTTCTGTCTAAATTTTCTATGAAGACATTCCCGTTTCCAACGAAATCCTCAAAGCTATCCAAATATCCACTTGCAGATCCTACAAAAAGGGTGGTTCAAAACTGCTCTATCGAAAGGAATATTTACCTCTGTGAGTTGAATGCAAACATCACAAAGTAGTTTCTGAGAATGCTTCTGTGTTGTTTTTCTATGAAGATACTTCCTTTTCTACCACAGGCCCCAAAGCTTTGTAAACATCCACTTGCAAATTCTACAAAAATAGTGTTTCAAAACTGTTCTAAAGAAAGGAAGGTTCAACTCTGTGAATAAAGTGCAGACATCACAAAGAAGTTTCTGAGAATACTTCCATCTACTTTTAAGTGAAGATATTCCCGTTTCCAAAGAAAGCCTCAAAGTGCTCCAAATATTCACTTGCAGACTTTACAAACAGAGTGTTTCAAAACTGCTCTATCAAAAGAAAGGTTAAACTCTGTGAGTTGAACGCACATATAACAAAGTACTTTCTGAGAAGGATTCTGTGTAGTTTTTATATGAAGATATTTACTTTTCTACCATAGGCCTCAAAGCGCTCTAAATATCCACTTGCAAAATCTACAAAAAGAGTGTTTCAAAACTGCTCTATCAAAAGGAAGGTTCAAATCTGTGAGTTGAATGCACACATCACAAAGAAGTTTCAGTGAATACTTCGGTCTAATTTTTCTGTGAAGATATTCCCTTTTCCAAAGAAGGCCTCAAAATCCTCCTAATATCCACTTGCAGACTTTACAAACAGAGTGTTTCAAAACTGCTCTATCAAAAGAAAAGTTCAGTAAATTACCTTGGGCACTATGGCCATTTTTACGATATTGATTCTTCCTACCCATGAGTATGGAATGTTCTTCCATTTGTTTTTATCCTTTTTTATTTCCTTTAGCAGTGGTTTGTAGTTCTCCTTGAAGAGGTCCTTCACATCCCTTGTAAGTTGGATTCCTAGGTATTTTATTCTCTTTGAAGCAATTGTGAATGGGAGTTCACTCATGATTTGGCTCTCTGTTTGTCTGTTGTTGTTGTATAAGAATGCTTGTGACTTTTGTACATTGATTTTGTATCCTGAGACTTTGCTGAAGTTGCTTAACAGCTTCAGGAGATTTTGGCCTGAGACAATGGGGTTTTCTAGATATACAATCGTGTCGTCTGCAAACAGGGACAATTTGATTTCCTCTTTTCCTAATTGAATACTCTTTATTTCCTTCTCCTGCCTCATTGCCCTGGCCAGAACTTCCAACACTATGTTGAATAGGAGTGGTGAGAGAGGGCATCCTTGTCTTGTGACAGTTTTCAAAGGGAATGCTTCCAGTTTTTGCCCATTCAGTATGATATTGGCTGTGGGTTTCTCATAGACAGCTCTTATTATTTTGAAATACGTCCCGTCAATACCGAATTTATTGAGAGTTTTTAGCATGAAGGGTTGTTGAATTTTTTCAAAGGCTTTTTCTGCATCTATTGAGATAATCATGTGGTTTTTGTGTTTGGTTCTCTTTATATGGTGGATTACATTTATTCATTTGCTCTAAAATCCTCAAAGCGCTGTAAAATCCACTTGCAAATTCTACAAAAACAATGTTTCAAAACTGCTCCATCAATAGGAAGGTTCAACTCTGTGAGTTGAATGCAGACATCACAAAGAAGTTTCTGAGAATACTTCTGTCTACTTGCTATGTGAAAATGCATCCGTTTCCAAGGCCTCAAAGCGCTCCAAATATCCACTTGCAGATTCTACAAAAAGAGTGTTTCAAAACTGCTCTATCAAAAGAAAGGTTCAACTCTGGGAGTTGAATATACACATCACAAAGAAGTTTCTGAGAATAATTCTGTCTAGTTTCTATGTAAAGATATTTCCTTTTCCACCAAAGGTATCAAACCGTTCAAAATGTTCACTTGCAGATTCTGCAAAAAGAGTGTTTCAAAACTGCTCTATCAAAAAAAAAGGTTCAAATCTGGGAGGTGGAAGCACACATCACAAAGAAGTTTCTGAGAATACTTCTGTCTAGTTTCTGTGTGAAGATATTTGCTTTTCCACTGCAGACCTCAAAGCTCTCAAAATGTCCACTTGTAGATTCTACAAAAAGAGTGTTTCAAGCCTGATCTATCAAAAGAAAGGTTCAACTCAGTGAGTTTAATGCACATATCACAAAGTAGTTTCTGAGAATGCTTCTCTCTAGTTATTATGTGAAGATATTGCCATTTCCACCGAAGGCCTCAAAGTGTTCCACATATCCACTTGCAGATACTACAAAAAGAGTGTTTCATAACAGCTCTATCAAAAGGAAAGTTCAAATGTGTGAGTTCAATGCACAAGTCACAAAGAAGTTTCTGAGAATGCTTCAGTCTAGTTTTTATGTGAAGATATTCCCGTTTCCACTGAAGGCCGCAAATCGGTACAAATATCCACTTGCAGACGCTACGAAAAGAGTGTTTCAAAACTGCTTCATGAAAAGGAATCTTAAAATCTGTGAGTTGAATGCAAACATCACAAAGAAGTTTCTCAGACTGCTTCTGTCTAGTTTTTATGTGAGGATATTTCCTTTTTCTCCATAGGCATCAAAGTGCTCCAAATATCCACTAGCAAATTCTACAAAAAGAGTGTTTCAAATATCTGCTCTATCAAAACAAATGTTCAACTCTGTGAGTCGAATGCATACATCACAAACTAGTTTCTGAGAATGCTTCTGTCTAGTTTTTCTATGAAGTTATTTCCTTTCCTACAATAGGCCTCAAAGCGCTCCAAATATCCACTTGCAGATATTCCAAAAACAGAGTTTCAAAACTGCTCTATGAAAAGAAAGTTTCAACTCTCTTAGTTGAATGCACACATCACAAAGAAGTTTCTGAGAATGCATCTGACTACTTTTATGTGAAGATACATCCTTTTCCACCACAGGCCTCAAAGCGCTCCAAATATCCACCTGCAGATTCTACAAAAAGACTGTTTCAAAACTGCTCTATGAAAAGGAAGCTTCAACTCTGTGAGTTGAATGCACACCACACAAAGAAGTTTCTGAAAATATTTCTGTCTAGTTTTTATGTGACGATATTCCCATTTCCACCAAGGGCCTCAAAACGGTCCAAATGTCCACCTGCAGATACTACAAAAAGAGTGTTTCAACACTGCTCTATCAAAAGGAATGTTCAACTTTTTGAGTTGAACAGAATCATCACAAAGTAGTTTCTGAGAATGCTTCTGTCTAATTTTTATGTGAAGATATTCCCATTTCAACTGTAGGCCTCAAAGAGCTATAAATATCCACTTGTAGATTATACAAAAAGAGTGTTTCAAAACTGCTCTATCAAAAGGAAGGTTCACCTCTGTGAGTTGAATGCCCACATCAGAAAGAAGTCTGTGAGAATGCTTCTGTCTTGTTTCTATGTGAAGATATTGCCTTTTCCACCACAAGCCTCATAGCGCTCAAATGCCCAATTGAAGGTTCTACAAAAAGAGTGTTTCAAAACTGCTCTATCAAAAGAAAGTTTCAACTCAGTGAGTTGAATGCACATATCACAAAGTAGTTTCTGAGAATGCTTCTCTGTAGTTATTATGTGAAGATATTCCCATTTCCACCGAAGGCCTCAAAGGGCTCCACATATCCACTTGCAGATATTACAAAAAGAGTGTTTCAAAACAGCTCTATCAAAAGGACAGTTCAAATGTGTGAGTTCAATACACACGTCACACAGAAGTTTCTGAGAATGCTTCTGTCTAGTTCTTAAGTGAAGATATTCCCGTTTCCACTGAAGGCCTCAAAGCAGTCCAAATATACACCTGCAGCTTCTACAAAAAGTGTATTTCAAAACTGCTCTATGAAAAGGAACGTTCAACTCTGTGAGTTGAATGCAAACATCTCAAAGAAATTTGTGAGAATGCTACTGTCTAGTTATGTGAAGATATTTCTTTTTACCACAGTCATCAAAGGGCTCCAAATGTCCACTTGCAGATTTTACAAAAAGAGAGTTTCAACAGTGCTCTATACAAAGGAAGGTTCAACTTTGTGATTTAAATGCACACATCACAAATAAGTTTCTGAGAATACTTCTATCTAGGTTCTATGTGAAGGTATTTCCTTTTCCACCAGAGGCCTCAAAACGCTCCAAATGTCCACTTGCAGAGACTACAAAAGGAGTGTTTCAAAACTGCTCTATGGAAAGGAAGGTTCAACTCTCTGAGTTGAATGCACACATCACAAAGAATTTTCTGAGAAAGCTTTTGTCTAGTTTTTATGTGAAGATATTCCCATTTCCACCGTAGGCCTCAAAGAGCTCCAAATATCCACTTGCAGATTCTACAAAGAGAGTATTTCAAAACTCCTCTAACAAGAGGAATGTTCAACCCTGTGAGTTGAATGCACACATCACAAAGCAGTTACAAAGAATGCTTCTGTCTCTTTTTTATGTGAAGATACTTCGTTTTCCATGACAGACTTCAAAGCGCTCCAAATATCCACTTGCAGGTTCTACACAAAGAGTGTTTCAAAACTGCTCTATCAAAAGGAATGTTCACCTCTGTTAGTTGAATGCCCACATCACAAAGAAGTTTCTGAGAACGCTTCTGTGTACTTTTTATGTAAGGATATTTCCTTTTCCACCACAGCCCTCAAAGCGCTCTAAATATCCTCTTGCAGATTCTACAAAAAAACTGTTTCAAAACTACTCTATGAAAAGAATGGTTCAACTCTGTGAGTTGAATGCACACATCACACAGAGGTTTCGGAGAATGCTTCTGTCTAGCTTTTATGTGAAGATAATCCCGTTTTTACTGAAGGCCTCAAAGTGGTCCAAATATCCACTTGCAGATTCTACAAAAAAAGTGTTTAAAAACTGCTCTATCAAAAGGAATGTTCAACTCTCTGAGTTGAATACAAACATCACAAAATAGTTTCTGAGAATGATTCCGTCTAGTTTTTATGAGAAGATATTCCCGTTTCCATTGAAGGCCTTGAAGCACTCCATATATCCACTTGCATATTCTACAAAAAGAGAGTTTCATAACTGCTCTTTCATAAGGAAGGTTTAACTCTGCTAGTGAAATGCACAAATAACAAGCAAGTTTCTGAGAATGCTTCCATCTACTTTTTATATGAAGATACTTCCTTTTCCTCCATAGGCCTCAAATTCCTCTAATTATCCACTTGAAGATTATACAAAAAGACTGTTTCAAAACGGCTCTATCACAAGAAAGGTTCAAAACTCTGGGTTGAATGCACACATCACAAAGAAGTTTCTGAAAATACTTCTGTCTAGTTTTTATGTGAAGATATTCCCATTTGCACCAAAGGCCTAAAAGCGCTACAAATATCCACTTGCAGATTCTAAAAAAAGAGCATTTCAAAACTGCTCTATCAAAAGGAAGGTTCAAATCTATGAGTTGAATGCACACATCACAAAGAAGTTTCTGAGAATGCTTCTGTATAGTTTTTATGTGAAGATATTCCCGTTTCCACCGAAGGCCTCAACACGGTCCCAGTATGCACTTGTAGATTCTACAAAAAGAGTTTTTCAAAACTTTTCTATGAAAAAAAATGTTCAACTCTGTGAGGTGAATGCAAACATCACAAAAAAGTTTCTGACAATAGTGCTGTCTAGTTTTTATGTGAAGATATTTCTTTTTCCACTACAGGCATCAAAGCGCTCCAAATATCCACTTGCAGACTCTAGAATAAGAGTGTTTCAAATCTGCTCTATCAAAAGAAAGAAAGGTTCAACCCTGTGAGTTAAATGCACACTTCACAAAATAGTTTCTGAGAATGCTTATGTCTAGTTTCTATATGAAGTTATGTCCTTTTCTGCCATAGGCCTCTAAGTGCTCCAAGTATCCACTTGCAGATTCTTGCAAAAAGAGTGTTTCAAAACTGCTGTATCACAAAGAAAGTTCAACTCCCTGAGTTGAATGCACAAATCACAAAGTAGTTTATGAGAATGCTTCTGTCTAGCTTTTATGTGAAGATATTCCCGTTTCCACCGTAGGCCCCAAAGATCTGTAAATCTCCACTTGCAGATTCTACAAAAAGAGTGTTTCAAAACTACGCTATCAAAAGGAAGGTTCAACTCTGTGAGTTGAATGCCCACATCAAAAAGAAGTTACTGAGAATGCTTCTGTCAAGTTTCTATGTGAAGATATTTTCATTTCCACCACAGGTCTCAAAAACCTCCAAATGTCCACTTGCAGATTCTACAAAAAGAGAGTTTCAAAATTGTTCTCTCAAAAGAAAGGTTCACCTCTGTTAGTTGAATGCACACATCACAGAGAAGTTTCTGAGAATGCTTCTGTCTAGATTTTGTGAAGATATTCCCATTTCCAAAGAAGGCCTCAAAGCGCTTCAAATACCCACTTGCAGATTCTACAAAAAGAGTGTTTCAAAACTGCTATATCAAAAGAACTGTTCAACTCTGTGAGTTGAATGCATGCATCATGAACTGGTTTCTGAGAATGCTTCTGTCTAATTTTTATATGAAGATATTTCCTATTCTACCATAGATCTCAAAGCGATCCGAATATCCACTTGCAGGTTTTCCAAAAGAAGTATTTCAAAACTGCTCTATAAAGGTAGGTTCAACTCTCTGAGTTTAATTCACACAGCACAAAGAAGTTTCTGAAAATACTTCTGTCTAGTATTTATATGAAGATAATCCCGTTTCCACCGTAGGCCTGAAAGAGATCTAAATATCCACATGCAGATACTACAAAAAGAGTGTTTCAAAACTGCTCTATCAAAAGAAAGGTTCAAATTTGTTAGTGGAATGCACACATCACACACAAGTTTCTGAGGATGCTTCTGTCTACTTTTTATATAAAGATACTTCCTTTTCCTCCATAGGCCTCAAAGGGCTCCAATTATCCACTTGAAGAATTTACAAAAAGACTGTTTCAAAACTGCTCTAAGAAAAGCAAGTTTCAACTCTGTGAGTTGAATGCACACATCACAAATATGTGAGTTGAATGCACACATCACAAATAAGTTTCTCAGAATATTTCTGTCAACTTTTTATGTGTAGGTATTTCATTTTTTAACATAGGCATCAAAGCCCTCAAGATGTCCACTTGCAGATTCTACAAAAAGAGCGTTACAAACTGCTCTATGAACAGGAAGGTTCAACACTGTGAGTTGAAAGCACACATCACAAAAAAACTTCCTGAGAATGTTTGTGTCTAGTTTTCATGTCAAGATATTCCCGTTTCCGCCGAAGGCTTCAAAGTGGTCCAAATATCCACTTGCAGATTCTACAAAAAGAGTGTTTCAAACAACTCTATGAAAACAAATGTTCAACTCTGTGAGTTGAATGCAATCATCACAAAGTAGTTTCTGAGAATGCTTCTGTCTGGGTTTTATGTGAAGATATTCCCGTTTTAACCATAGGCATCAAAGAGCTAAAAATATCCACTTGCAGATTCTACAAAAAGAGTGTTTCAAAACTGCTGTAACAAAAGAAAGGTTCAACTCTGTGAGTTGAATGCACACATCACAAAGTAGCTTCTGAGAATGCTTCTGTCTAGTTCTTGTATGAAGTTATCTCCTTTTCTACCATAGGCCTCAAAGCGCTCCAAATATCCACTTGCAGATTCCACAAAAACAGTGTTTCAAAACTGCTCTATCAAAAGAAAGCTTCAACACTGTTAGGTGAATGCACACATCACAAAGAAGTTTCTGAGAGTGCTTCTGTCTACTTTTATGTGAAGACACATCCTTTTCCACCAAAGGCCTCAAAGCCCTCCAAATATCCAACTGCAGAATTTACAAAAAGACTGTTTCAAAACGGCTCTATGAAAAGGAAGGTGGAAATCTGTGAGTTGAATGCAATCATCACAAAGTAGTTTCTGAGAATATTTCTGTCTAGTTTTTATGTGAAGATATTCCCGTTTCCACCGAAGGCCACAAAGCAGTCCAAATATCCACTTTCGGATTCAACAAAAAGAGTGTTTCAAAACTGCTCTATCAAAATAAAAGTTCAAGTCTCTTAGATGAATGCACACATCACAAAGGAGTTTCTGATAATGCTTCTGTCTAGTTTCTATGTGAAGATATTCCTGTTTCCACCGTAGGCCTCAAAGAGATATAAATATCCACTTGCAGATTCTACAAAAAGAGTGTTTCAAATCTGCTCTATCAAAAGAAAGTTTCAACTCTGAGTTGAATACACACATCACAACGTAGTTTTTGAGAATGTTTCTCCTAATTTTTTTATGAAGATATTTCCTTTTCTACCATAGGCCTCAAGGTGCTCCAAATATCCAATTGCAGATACTACAAAAAGAGTGTTTCAAAATGCTCTATCAAACAGAAGGTTCAACTCGGTAAGTTGAATGCACACATCACAAAGAAGTTTCTGAGAATGCTTCTGTCTAGTGTTTAAGTGAAGATATTCCCATTTCCACGAAAGGCCTCAAAGCCCTCCAAATATCCACTTGCAGACTCTACAAAAAGAGTGATTCAAAACTGCTCTATCAAAAAAATTGTTCAACTCTGTGAGTTGAATGCAAACATCACAAAGTAGTTTCTGAGAAAGCTTCTGTCTAATTTTCATATGAAGATATTTCCTTTTCTACCATAGGCCTCAAATTGCTCCAAATATCCACTTGCAGATTCTACAAAAAGGGTGTTTCTAAACTGCTCTATCAAAAGGAATGTTCAACCCTCTGAGTTGAATGCACGCATCACAAAATTGTTTCTCAGAATACTTCTGTCTAATTTTTATGTGAAGATATTTCTTTTTCTATCATAGGCCTCAAATCGCTCCAAATATCCACTTGCAGATTCTACAAAAACAGTGTTTCAAAACTGCTCTATCATAAGGAAGTTTAAACTCTCTGAGTTGAATGCACACAACACAAAATAGTCTCCGAGAATGCTTCTGTCTAGTTTTTAAGTGAAGGTATTCCCGTTTCCACTGGAGGCCTCAAACAGATCCAAATATTCACATGCAGATTCTACAAAAAGAGTTTTTCATAACTGCTCTATCAAAATAAGGGTTCAAATCTGTTAGTTGAATGCACACATAACAAAGTAGTTTCTGAGAATGCTTCTGTCTAGTTTTTATATGAAGATATTTCCTTTTCTACCATAGGCCTCCAAGTGATCCAAATATCCACTTGCAGATTCTACAAAAACAGTGTTTCAAAACTGCTCTAACAAAAGGAAATTTCAACTCTCTGAGTTCAATGCACACATCATGAAGAAGTTTCTGAGCATACTTCTGTCTAGTTTTAATGTGAAGATATTTCCTTTTCCACAACAGTCCTCAAAGCGGTCCAAATATCCTCTTGCAGGTTCTACAAAAAGAGTCTTTCAAAACTGCTCTATCAAAAGAAAGGTTCAATTCTGTTAGTGGAATGTACACACCACAAACAAGTGTCTGAGAATGCTTCCATCTAATTTTTATATGAAGATACTTCCTTTTCCTCCATAGGCCTCAAAGTGCTAAAATTACCCACTTGAAAATTCTACAAAAAGACCGTTTCAAAACTGCTCTGTGAAAAGGAAGGTTCAACTCTGTGAGTTGAATGCACACATCACCAAGCAGTTTCTGAGAATGCTTCTGTCTAATTTTTTTTTCTTTTATTATTATACTTTAAGTTTTAGGGTACATGCGCACATTGTGCATGTTAGTTACTTATGTATACGTGTGCCATGCTAGTGCACAGCACCCACTACCTCGTCATCTAGCATTAGGTATATCTCCCAATGCTATCCCTCCCCCCTCCGCCCACCCCACAACAGTCCCCAGAGTGTGATGTTCCCCTTCCTGTGTCCATGTGATCTCATTGTTCAATTCCCACCTATGAGTGAGATTATGCGGTGTTTGGTTTTTCCTTCTTGTGATAGTTTACTGAGAATGATGATTTCCAATTTCATCCATGTCCCTACAAAGGACACGAACTCATAATTTTTTATGGCTGCAGAGTATTCCATGGTGTATATGTGCCGTTTTTACGTGAAGGTGTTTCCTCTTTCACCATAGGCATCAAAGCGCTCCAAATGTCCACTTGCAGATTCTGTAAAAAGAGTGTTTAAAAACTGCTCTATGAAAAGGAAGGTTCATCTCTATTAGTTGAATGCACAGATCACAAAGTGGTTTCTGAGAATGCTTCTGTCTACTTTTTATGTGAAGATACTTCCTTTTCCACCATAGGCCTCAAAGCGCTCTAAATATCCACTTGCAGATACTACAAAAAGACTGTTTGAAAACTGCTCAATGAAAGGCAGGTACAACTCTGTGAGTTCAATGCACACATCACAAAATAGTTTCTGAGTATGCTTCTGTCTAGTTTTTATATGAATATATTTCCTTTTCTACCATAGGCCTCAAAGCGCTCCATATATCCACTTGCAGATTCTACAAAAAGAGTGTTTCAAAAGTGCTCTATCATAAAGAAGGTTCAACACTATGAGTTGAATGCACACATCAGAAATAAGTTTCTGAGAATGCTTCTGTCTAGTTTTTATGTCAAGATATTCCCGTTTCCACTATAGGCCTCAAAGAGCTATAATTATCCACTTGCAGATTCTACAGTAGAGTGTTTCAAAACTGTTCTATCAAAAGAAAGGTTCAACTCTGTGAGTTGAATACACACATCACAAAGTAGTTTTTGAGAATGCTTCCCCTAATTTTTATATGAAGATATTTCCCTGTCTACCATAGGCCTAAAAGCACTCCAAATATCCACTTGCAGATTCTACAAACAGAGTGTTTCAAAACCGCTCTATTGAAAGGAAGGTTCAACTCTGTAAGTTGAATGCACACATCACAAAAAAGTTGGTAAGAGTGCTTCGGTCTAGTTTTTATGTGAAGATATTCCCATTTCCACCGAAGGCCTCAGAGCCCTCCAAATGTTCACTTGCAGATTCTACAAAAAGAGTGTTTCAAAACTGCTCTATCAGAAGAAAGGTTCAACTCAGTGAGTTGAATACACTCATCAAAAAGTAGTTTCTGTGAATGCTTCTGTCTAATTTTCATATGAAGATATTTCCTTTTCTACCATAGGCCTCAAAGTGCTCCAAATTCCAACATGCAGATTCTACAAAAAGAGTATTTCTAAACTGCTCTATCTAAAGGAAGTCTCAACTCTCTGAGTTGAATGCAGACATCACAAAATAGTTTCTGAGAATACTTATGTCTAGTTTTTATATGAAGATATTACTTTTTCTAACATAGGCCACAAATAGCTCCAAATATCCACTTGCAGATTCCACAAAAACAGTAATTCAAAACTGCTCTATCAAAAGGAAGGTTAAACTCTCTGAGTTGAATGCACATATCACAAAGAAGTTTCTGAGAATGTTTCTATTTTTTATGTGAAGATATTTCCATTTCCACCGAAGGCCTCAGAGCCCTCCAAATGTTCACTTGCAGATTTTACAAAAAGTGTGTTTCAAAACTGCTCTATCAAAAGAATATTTCAACTCTGTGAGTTGAATACACACATCGCAAATAGTTTCTGAGAATGCTTCTGTCTAATTTTCATATGAAGATATATCCTTTTCTACCATAGGCTTCAAAGTGCTCCAAATATCCACTTGTAGATTCTACAAAAAGAGTGTTTCTAAACTGCTCTATCTAAAGGAAGGCTCAAATTTCTGAGTTGAATGCACACATCACAAAATAATTCCTGAGAATAATTCTGTCTACTTTTCATATGAAGATATTTCCTTCTTTACCATAGGCCTCAAATCGCTCCGTATATCCTCTTGCAGATTCTACAAAAACAGTGTTTCAAAACTGCTCTATCTTAAGGAAGGTTAAACTCTCTGAGTTGAATGCACATATCACAAAGAAGTTTCTGAGAATGCTTCTGTCTACTTTTTATCTGAAGATATTTCCTTTTCTACCATAGACCCCAAAGTGCTCCAAATATCCACTTGCAGATTCTACAAAAACAGTGTTTCAGAACTTCTCTAACAAAAGGAAGTTTCAACTCTCTGAGTTGAATACACACATCTCGAAGAAGTTTCTGAGAATGCTTCTGCCTAGTTTTTATATGAAGATATTCCCGTTTCCACCGGAGGCCTCAAAGCGGTCCAAATATCCACTTGCAGATTCTACAAAAAGACTCTTTCAAAACTGCTCTATCAAAAGAAAGGTTCAACTCTGTTAGTGGAATGCACACATCACAAACAAGTTTCTGAGAATGCTTCCGTCTACTTTTTATATGAAGATACTTCCTTTTCCTCCATAGGCCTCAAAGCACTCCAATTATCCACTTGAAGATTCTACAAAAAGACTGTTTCAAAACTGCTCTATGTAAAGGAAGGTTCAGTTCTGTGAGCTGAATGCACACATCACGAAGGAGTTTCTGAGAATGCTTCTGTATAATTTTTATGTGAAGGTATTTTCTTTTTCACCATAGGCATCAAAGCCCTCCAAATGTCCATCTGCAGATTCTACAAAAAGAATGTTTAAAAACTGCTCTATGAAAAGGAAGGTTCAACACAGTCAGTTAAATGCACACATCATAAAGAAGTTTCTGACAATGCTTCTGTCTAGTTTTTATGTGAAGATATTCCCGTTTCCACCTAAGGCCACAAAGCGCTCCAAATATTCACTTGCAGATTCTACAAAAAGAGTTTTTCAAAACTGCTCTATCAAAAAAAAAAAAAATGTTCAACTTGTGAGTTGAATGCACGCAACATGAAGTAGTTTCTGAGACTGCTTCTGTCTAATTTTTATATGAAGATATTTCCTTTTCTAACATAGGCCTCAAAGCGCTCCAAATATCCACTTGCAGATTGTACAAAAAAGGTATTTCAAAACTGCTCTGTAAGAAGGAATATTCAACGCTCTGATTTGAATGCACACATCACAAAGAAGTTTCTGAAAATACTTCTGTCTAGTTTTTATGTGATGATATTCCTGTTTCCAACGTAGGCCTCAAAGAGATCCAAATATCCACATGCAGATTCTACAAAAAGAGTGTTTCAAAACTGCACTATCGAAAGAGAGGTTCAAATCTGTTAGTTGAATGCACACATTACAAAGTAGTTTCTGATAATGCTTCTGTCTAGTTTTTATATGGAGTTTTTTCATTTTCTACTATAGGTCTCAAAGTGCTCCAAATATACACTTGCAGATTCTACAAAAAGAGTGTTTCAAAACTGCTCTATCATAAGGAAAGTTAAACACTCTGAGTTGAATGCACACATCACAAAGCAGTTTCTTAGAATGCTTCTGTCGAGTTTGCATGTGAAAATATGACCGTTTCCACCATAGGCCTCAAAGAGCTACAAATATCTACTTGCAGATCATTCAAAACAAGTGTCTCAAAACTGCTCTATCAAAAGAAAGGTTGAATTCTGTGGGTTGACTACACACATCACGATGTACTTTTTGAAAATGCTTCTCCTAATTTTTTTATGAAGATATTTCCTTTTCTACCATAGGCCTCAATGCGCTCCAAATATTCACTTGCAGATTCTACAAAAAGAGTGTTTCAAAACTGGTCTATAAAAAGGAAGGTTCAACTCTGTAAGTTGAATGCACACATCACAAAGAAGTTTCTGAGAATACTTCTGTCTAGTTTTTATGTGAAGATATTCCCTTTTCCACCGAAGGCCTCAAAGCCCTCCAAATATCCACTTGCCGATTCTACAAAAAGAGCATTTCAAAACTGCTCTATCAAAAAAAAAATGTTCATCTCTATGAGTTGAATGCAAACATCACAAAATAGTTTCTTGGAATGCTTCTGTCTAATTTTCATATGAAGATATTTCCTTTTCTACCACAAGCCTCCAACTGCTCCAAATATCCACTTGCAGATTCTACAAAAAGAGTGTTTCTAAACTGCTCTATCAAAAGAAAGGTTCAACTTTCTGAGTTGAATGCACACATCACAAAATAGTTTCTGAGAATACTTCTGTCTAGTTTTTATATGAAGATATTTCATTTTCTACTATAGGCCTCAAATCGCCCCAAATATCCACTTGCAGATTATTCAAAAACAGTGTTTGAAAACTGCTCTATCATAAGGAAGGTTAAACTCTCTGAGTTGAATGCACACATCACAAAGAAGTTTCTGAGAATGCTTCTGTCTAGTTTTTATGTGAAGATATTCCTGTTTCCACCGTAGGCCTCAAACAGATCCAAATATCCACTTACAGATTCTACAAAAAGTGTGTTTCAAAACTGCTCTATCAAAAGAAAGGTTGAACTCTGTTAGTGGAATGCACACATCACAAAGCTGTTTCTCAGAATCCTTCTGTCTAGTTTTTATGTGAAGATATTTCCTTTTCTACTGTAGGCCTCAAAGTGCTCCAAATATCCACTTGCAGATTCTACAAAAACAGTGTTTCAAAATTGGTCTAACAAAAGGAACTTTCCACTCTCTGAGTTGAATGCACACATCTCAAAGAAGTTTCTGAGAATACTTCTGTCTAGTTTTTATATGAAGATATTCTCGTTTCCACCGGAGGCCTCAAAGCGGTCCAAATATCCACTTGCAGATTATACAAAAAGACTCTTTCTTTTATTTATTTATTTATTTATTTATTTTTTTAATTATACTTTAAGTTTTAGGGTACATGTGCACATTGTGCAGGTTAGTTACATATGTATACATGTGCCATGCCGGTGCGCTGCACCCACCAACTCGTCATCTAGCATTAGGTATATCTCCCAATGCTATCCCTCCCCCCTCCCCCCACCCCACCACAATCCCCAGAGTGTGATATTCCCCTTCCTGTGTCCATGTGATCTCATTGTTCAATTCCCACCTATGAGTGAGAATATGTGTTGTTTGGTTTTTTGTTCTTGCGATAGTTTACTGAGAATGATGATTTCCAATTTCATCCATGTCCCTACAAAGGACATGAACTCATCATTTTTTATGGCTGCATAGTATTCCATGGTGTATATGTGCCACATTTTCTTAATCCAGTCTATCATTGTTGGACATATGGGTTGGTTCCAAGTTTTTGCTATTGTGAATAATGCTGCAATAAACATAATGTGTGCATGTGTCTTTATAGCAGCATGATTGATAGTCCTTTGGGTATATACCCCGTAATGGGACGGCTGGGTCAAATGTTATTTCTAGTTCTAGATCCCTGAGGAATCGCCACACTGACTTCCACAATGGTTGAACTAGTTTACAGTCCCACCAACAGTGTAAAAGTGTTCCTATTTCTCCACATCCTCTCCAGCACCTGTTGTTTCCTGATTTTTAATGATTGCCATTCTAACTGGTGTGAGATGGTATCTCATAATGGTTTTGCTTTGCATTTCTCTGATGGCTAGTGATGATGAGCATTTTTCCATGTGTTTTCTGGCTGCATAAATGTCTTCTTTTGAGAAGTGTCTGTTCATGTCCTTCGCCCACTTCTTGATGGGGTTGTTTGTTTTTTTCTTGTCAATTTGTTTGAGTTCATTGTAGATTCTGGATATTAGCCCTTTGTCAGATAAGTAGGTTATGAAAATTTTCTCCCATTTTTTAGGTTGCCTGTTCACTCTGATGGTAGTTTCTTTTGCTGTGCAGTAGCTCTTTAGTTTAATTAGATCCCATTTGTCAATTTTGTCTTTTGTTGCCATAGCTTTTGGTGTTTCGGACATGAAGTCCTTGCCCATGCCTATGTCCTCAATGGTAATGCCTAGGTTTTCTTCTAAGGTTTTTATGGTTTTAGGTCTAACGTTTAAATCTTTAATCCGCCTTGAATTGATTTTTGTATAAGGTGTAAGGAAGGGATCCAGTTTCAGCTTTCTAAAGACTCTTTCAAAACTGCTCTATCAAAAGAAAAGAAAAGTTCAACTCTGTTAGTGGAATGCACACATCACAAACAAGTTTCTGAGAAAGCTTCCATCTACTTTTTATTTGAAGATACTTCCTATTCCTCCATAGGACTCAAAGGGCTCCAATTATCCACTTGAAGATTCTACAAAAAGACTGTTTCAAAACTGCTCGATGTAAAGGAGGGTTCAACTCTGTGAGTTGAATGCACACATCATGAAGGAGTTTCTGAGAATGCTCCTGTCTAATTTTTAAGTGAAGGTATTTCCTTTTTCACCATAGGCTCAAAGCGCTTCAAATGTCCACTTGCAGATTCTACAAAAAGAGTGTTTAAAAACTGCTCTATGAAAAGGAAGTTTCAACTCTGTAAGGTGAAAGCACACATCACAAAGAAGTTTCTGAGAATGCCTCTGTCTGGTTTTTATGTGAAGATATTCCCGTTTCCACTGAATACCTCAAAGTGCTTCAAACATTCACTTGAAGATTATAGAAAAAGAGTGTTTCAAAACTGCTCTATCAAAAAAAAGTTCAACTCTGTGAGTTGAATGCAAGCAACATGAAGTAGTTTCTGAGAATGCTTCTGTCTACTTTTTATATGAAGATATTTCCTTTTCTAACATAGACCTCAAAGAGCTCCAAATATCCACTTGTGGATTGTACGAAAAGGGTATTTCAAAACTGCGCTATAAAAAGGAAAGTTGAGTGCTCTGATTTGAATGCACACATCACAAAGAAGTGTCTGAAAATACTTCTGTCTAGTTTTTATGTGAAGATATTCCTGTTTCCACCATAGGCCTCAAAAAGATCCAAGTATCCACATGCAGATTCTACAAAAAGAGTGTTTCTAAACTGCTCTATCAAAAGAAAGGTTCATATCTGTTAGTTGAATGCACACATCACAAAGTAGTTTCTGAGAATGCTTCCGTCTAGTTTTTATATGGCATTATTTCCTTTTCTACCATAGGCCTCAAAGCACTCCAAATATACACTTGCAGATTCTACAAAAGCAGTGTTTCAAAACTGCTCTAACAAAAGGAAGGTTCAACTCTCTGAGTTGAATGCACACATCATGAAGAAGTTTCTGAGAATTCTTCTGTCTAGTTTTTATGTGAAGATATTCCCGTTTACACCGTAGGCCTCAAAAAGCTATAAATATCCACTTGCAGATACTACAAAAAGAGTGTTTCAAAACTCCTCTATCAAAAGAAAGGTTCAACTCTGTGAGTTGAATACACACATCACAACGTAGTTTTTGAGAATGGTTCTCCGAATTTTTATATGAAGTTATTTCCTTTTCTATCATAGGCCCCAAAGCGCTCCAAATATCCACTTGCAGATTCTACAAAAAGAGTGTTTCAAAACTGCTCTATCAAAAGGAAGATTTAACTCTGTGAGTTGAGTGCACACATCACAAAGAAGTTTCTGAACATGCTTCTGTCTAGTTTCTTTTTGAAGATATTTCCTTTTCCACCACAGACCTCATAGCGCTCCAAATATCCACTTGCAGAATCTACAAAGAGAGTGTTTCAAAACTACTCTATCAAAAAGAAGGCTTACCTCTGTGAGTTGATGTACACATCACAAAGTAGTTTATGAGAAGGCTTCTGTATAGTTTTTATGTGAAGATATTCCCGTTTCCACCGTTGGCCACAAAGCACTCCATATATCCACCTTTGGATTCTACAAAAAGACTCTTTCAAAACTGCTCTATGAAAAGGAATGTTCAACTCTGTCAGTTGAATGCAAACATCACGAATAAGTTTCTGAGAATGCTTCTGTCTAGCGTTTATGTGAAAATATTTTTTTTCACCATAGGCATCAAAGCGCTCCAAATGTCCACTTTCAGATTCTACAAGAAGAGTGTTTCAAAACTCCTCTAGCAAAAGAAAGTTTCAACTCTGAGTTGAATGCTCACATCACAAAGTAGTTTCTGAGGATGCTTCTGTCTAGTTTTTATATGAGGATATTTCCTTTTCTACCTTAGTCCTCAAATTGCTCCAAATATTCACTTGCAGATTCTACAAGAAGAGTGTTTCAAAACTGCTCCATTTAAAGGAGGGTTCAACGCTGTGAGTTGAATGCACACATCAGAAAGAAGTTTCTGAGAATGCTTCTGAATTGTCTCTATGTAAAGATATATCCTATTTCACCACAGGCCTCAAGGCATTCCAAATGTCCAAGCACAGATTCTACAAAAACAGTGTTTTGAAAGTGCTCTATCATCAAAAGAAAGGTTCATCTCTGTGAGTTGAATGCACACATCACAAAGAAGTTTCTGAGAATGCTTCTGACTGGTTTTAATGGGAAGATATTCCCCTTTCCACTGAAGGCCTCAAAACGCTCCAAATATCCACTTGCAGATTCTACAAAAAGTGTGCTTCAAAGCTGCTCTATCAAAATGAAGGTTCAATTATCTCAGTTGAATGTACATATCACAAAGAAGTTTCTGAGAATGCTTCTGTCTAGTTTTTATGTGACGATATTCCCATTTCCACCGTAGGCCTAAAAGACTTCCAAATATCTACTTGCAGATTCTACAAAAAGAGTGTTTCAAAACTACTGTTTCAGAAGAAAAGTTCAATTCTGTTAGTTGAATGCCAACATCACAAAGATGTTTCTGAGAATGCTTCTGTCTAGTTTTTATGTGAAGATATTCCCTTTTTCACCACAAGCCTCAAAACGCTCCAAATGTCCTCTTCCAGATTCTACAAAAAGAGTGTTTCAAAACTGCTGTATCAAAAGAAAGGTTCAGCTCTGTGAGTTGAATGCACAATTCACAAACTAGTTTCTGAGAAGGCTTCTGTCTAATTTTTATATGAAGATATTTCTTTTTCTACAATAGGCCTCAAAGCACTCCAAATACCCAACTGCAGATTCTACAAAAAGAGTGTCTGAAAACTGCTCTATCAAAATGAAGGTTCAACTCTCTGAGTTGAATGCAAAATCAAATAGTACTTTCTAAAAATACTTCTTTGTAGTTATTATGTGAAGATATTCTCGTTTCCACCGTAGGCCTCAAAGAGCTCCAAATATCCACTTGCAGATTCTACAAAGGGAGATTTTTGAAACAGTTCTATCCAAAGAAAGGTTCAACTCTGTTAGTTGAATGCACACATAGAAAACAAGTTTCTGAGAATGCTTCAGTCTACTTTCTATGTGAAGATACTTGCTTTTTCACACCCTAGGCCTCAAAGTGCTCCAAATATCCACTTGCAAATACTACAAAAAGACTCTTTCAAAACTGCTCTATGAAAAGACAGGTTCAGCTCTCTCAGTTGAATGCACACATCACAAAGAAGTTTCTGAGAATGCTTCTGTCTAGTTTTTATGTGAAGATATTCCCGTTTCCACCGAAGGCCTCAAAGTAATCCAAATATCCAGTTGCAGATTCTACAAAAAGAGTGTTTCAATACTGCTCTAACAAAATAAAGGTTCATATCTGTGAGTTGAATGCACACATCACAAAGAAATTTCTGAGAATGCTTCTGTATAGTTTCTATCTGAAGATATTTCCTTTTCCACCTCAGGCCTTTAAGCACTCCAAATGTACACTTGCAGATTCTACTAAAAGAGTGTTTTAAAGCTGCTCTATCTAAAGAAAGGCTCAACTCTGTGATTTGAATTCACACATCACAAAGAAGTTTCTAAGAATTCTTCTGTCTAGTTTTTATGTGAAGATATTTCCTTTTCTACCAAATGCCTCAAAGCACTCCAAATATCCACTTGCAAATTCCACAAAAGGAATGTTTCAAAACAGCTCTATGAAAAGGAATGTTCAACTCTGTGAGGTGAATGCAAACATCACAAAGATGAAGTTTCTGAGAATAATTTTGTCTAGTTTTTATGTGAAGATATTTCCTTTTTCACTGTAGGCATCAAAGTGCTCAAAATATCCACTTGGAAACTCTACAATAAGAGGGTTTCAAAACTGCTCTAAAAAAACAACTTTCAACTATGTGAGTTGAAGGCATACATCACAAAATAGCTTCTGAGAATGCTTCTGTCTAGTTTTTATATGAAGACATTTCCTTTTCTACCATAGGCCACAAAGCACTCCAAATATCCACTTACAGATCCCACAAAAAGAGTGTTTCAAAACTGCACTATCATAAGAAAGTTTCAACCCTGTGAGTTGAATGCACACATCACGAAGAATTTTCTGAGAATGCTTCTATCTAGTTTTTATGTGAAGATATTCCCATTTCCACCGTAGGACTGAAAGTGCATCATATATCCACTTGCAGATTTTAGGAAAAGAGTGTTTCAAATCTGTTCTATCAAAAGAAAGGTTCAACATTGTGAGTTGAATGCACACATCACAAAGAAGTTTCTGAGAATGATTCTGTCTAGTTTTAATGTGAAGATATTTCCTTTCCCACTACAAGCCTGAAATTGCTCTAAATATCCACTTGCAGATTTTACAAAAAGAGTGTTTCAAAACTGCTCTATCAAAAGAAAATTTCAAATTTGTGAGTTGAATGCACTCTTCAAAAAGTAGTTTCTGAGAATACTTGTGTCTAGTTTTTATGTGAAGATATTTCCTTTTTCACCATAGGCCTCAAATGGAACCAAACATACACTTGCAGATTCTACAAAACGTGTGTTTCGAAACTGCTCTATTAATAGAAAGGTTCAATTCTGTGAGTTGAATGCACACATCTGGAAGAAGTTTCTGGGTATACTTCTGTCTAGTTTTAATGTGGAGACATTTTCTTTTCCACCGTAGGCCTCAAAGCACTCCAAATATCCACTTGCAGATAATACAAAAAGTGTGTTTCAAAACTGCTCTATCAAAAGGAAGGTTCAACACTCTGAGTTGAATGCACACATAACAAAGAAGTTTCTGAAAATACTTCTGTCTAGTTTCTATTTGAAGATAATTCCTTTTCCACCTCAATCTTTGAAGCGCTCCATATGTCCACTTGCAGATCCTACAAAAAGGTTGTTTCAGAACAGCTCTATGAAAAGAAGGGTTCAACTCTGTGAGTTGAATGCACACATCACAAAGTAGTTTCTGAGAATGCTTCTATCTAGTTTTTATGTGAAGATATTCCCGTTTCCACTGAAGGCCTTAAAGCCCTCCAAATATCCACTGGCAGATTCTACAAAAAGAGTGTTTCCAAACTGCTCTATCAAAAGGAAGGTTCAACTCTGTGAGATGAATGCAAATATCACAATGTAGTTTCTGAGAATGATTCTGTCTAGTTTTTATACGAAGATATTTCCTTTTCTACCATAGGCCTCAAAGCGGTCCAAATATGTACTTGAAGATTCTACAAAAAGATGTTAGAAGACTGCTCTATCGAAAAGAAACGTTAAACACTCTGAGTTGAATGCAAACATTACAAAGAAGTTTCTGAGAATGCTTCTCTCTAGTTTTTATGTGAAGATATTCCCTTTTCCACCATAGGCCTAAAAGAGCTCCAAATATCCACTTGCAGATACTACAAAAAGAGTGTTTCAAAACTTCTCTATCAAAAGAAAGGTTCAACTCTGTTAGTTGAATGCACACATCACCAACAAGTTTCTGAAAATGCTTCTGTCTACTTTTTATGTGAAGATGCTTTCTTTCCGACCGTAGGACTCAAAACGCTCCAAATATCCACTTGCAGATGCTACAAAAAGAATGTTTCAAAACTTCTCTATGAAAAGAAACGTTCAACTCTGTCAGATGAATACACACATCACAAAAAAGTTTCTGAAAATGCTTCTGTCTACTTTTTATGTGAAGATACTTCCTTTTCCACCATAGGCCTCAAACGCTCCAAATATAAACTTGCAGATTCTACAAAAAGAGTGTTTCAAAACTGCTCTATGAAAAGGAAGGTTCAACTCTGTGTGCTGAATGCAAACATCTCAAAGAAGTTTCTGAGAATGCTTCTGTCTAGTTTTTATGTGAAAATATTTCCTTTTTCAGCCTAGGCATCAAAGCGCTCCAAATGTCCATTGCAGATTCTACAAAAAGATTGTTTCAAAACTGCCCTATCAAAAGAAAGTTTCAACTCTGTGAGTTGTATCCACACATCCCAAAGTAGTTTCTGAGAATGATTCTGTCTAGTTTTCATGTGAAGATATTTCCTTTTTCACCACAGGCATCAAAGCGCTCCAAATGTCCACTTGCAGATTCTACAGAAAGACTGTTTCAAAACTGTTCTATCAAACGAAATGTTCAACTCTGTGAGTTGAATGCACACATCACAAAGAAGTTTCTGAGAATACTTCTCTCTAGTTTTTATGTGAAGATATTCCCGTTTCCATTGAAGGCCTCAAAGTGCTCGAAATATCCACTTGCAGATTCTACAAAAAGACGGTTTGAAAACTGCCCTATGAGAAGGAAGTTTCGACACTGTGAGTTGATTTCAAACTTCACAAAGCAGTTTCTGAGAATGCTTCTGTCCAGTTTTTATGTGAAGATATATCCTTTTCTACAAAAGACCTAAAGCACTCCAAATATCCACATTCAGATTCTACAGAAAGAGTGTTTCAAAACTGCTCTATCAAAAGGAACTTTCAACTCTGTGAGTTGAGTGCACACAACCCAAAGAAGTTTCTGAGAATGCTTCTGTTTTGTTCTTCTGTGAGGGTGTTTTGTTTTCAAAAACAGGCCCCAAAGGAAACCAAATATCCAATTGCAGGTTCCAAAAAGAGTGTTTCAAATCTGTTCTATCAAAAGAAAATTTCGACTCTGTGGGTTGAATGCGCACATCACAAATAAGTTTCTGAGAATGCTTCTGTCTAGTTTTTATGTTAACGTATCCCCGTTTCCACCGAAGGCCTCAAAGCACTCCAAATATCCACCTTCAGATTCTACAAAAAGAGTGTTTCAAAAGTGCTCTATCAAAAGGAAGGCTCAACTCTGTGAGTTGAATTCACACATCACAAAGCAGTCTCTGAGAATGCTTCTGTCTAGTTTTTATGTGAAGATATTCCCATTTCCACCGAAGGCCTCAAAGCGCTCCAAATATCCACTTGCAGATTCCACAAAAAGAGTGTTTCAAAACTGTTCTACCAAAAGGAAGGCTCAAATCTGTGAGTTGAATGCACACATCACAAAGAAGTTTCTGAGAATGCTTCTGTCTAGTTTTTATGTGAAGATATTCCCGTTTCCACTGAAGGCCTCAAAGCACTCCAAATATGCACTTGCAGATTCTACTAAAAGTGTTTCAAAACTGCTGTACCAAAAAAACTGTTCAAATCTGTGAGATGAATGCCCACATCATGAAGTAGTTTCTGGGAATGCTTCCTTCTATTTTTTATATGAAGATATTCCCTTTCCTACCGAATGCCACAAAGCAGTCCAAAAATCACCTTAGAGATTCTACAAAAAGAGTGTTTCTAAACCGCTCTATCAAAAGGAAGGTTCAACTCTGTGAGATGAATGAAAACATCACCAAGTTGTTTCTGAGAATGCTTCTGTCTAGTTTTTATGTGAAGATATTTCCTTTTCTACCATAGGCCTCTAAGTGCTCTAAATATACACTTGCAAATCCTACAAAAAGAGTTTTTCATAACTGCGCTATCAAAAGAAAGGTTCAACTCTGTGAGTTGAATGCACACATCACAAAAAGAAGTTTCTGAGAATGCTTCTGTCCAGTTTTTATGTGAAGATATTCCCGTTTCCACCGAAAGCACCAAAGCGGTCCAAATGCCTGCTTGCCGATTCTACAAAAAGTGTTTCAAAACTGTTCTACCAAAAGGAAGGTTCAACTCTGTGAGTTGAATTCACACATCACATAGCAGTTTCTGATAATGCTTCTATCTACTTTCTATCTGAAGATATTTCCTTTTCCACAACAGTCCGCAAATCGCTCCAAATGTCCACTTGCAGTTTCTGTAAAAAGAGTGTTTCAAAACTGCTCTATCAAAAGAAAGGTTCAACTCTGTTCGTTGAATGCACACATCACAAACAAGTTTCTGAAAATGCTTGTGTCTAGTTTTTATGTGAAGATACTTGCATTTCCATCATAGGCCTCAAAGCACTTCAAATATCCAGTTGCAGATACTACAAAAAGACTGTTCCAAAACTGCTCTATGAAAAGGAAGGTTCAACTCTGTGAGTTGAATGCACACATCACAAAGAATTTTCGGAGAATGCCTCTGTCTAGTTTTCATGTGAAGATACTTCGTTTTCCAAGTTAGGCATCAAAGGGAAACAAATATCCCTTTGCAGATTCTACAAAAAGAGTGTTTCAAAACTGCACAATCAATAGAAAGGTTCAAATTTTTGAGTTGAATGCACACATTACAAAGACATTTTGGAGAATGCTTGTGTCTAGTTTTTATGTGAAGATAATTTATTTTTCACCGTAGGCCTCAAGGGAAACCAAATATCCACTTGCAGATCCTACAAAACGATTGTTTCAGAACTGCACTGTCAAAAGAAAGTTTCAACCCTGTGAGTTGAATGCACACATCACAAAGAAGTTTTGGAGATTGATTCTGTCCAGTTTTTGCGTGAAGATATTTCCTTTTCCACCATACGCCTCAAAATTCTTCAAATATCCACTTGCAGATTCTACAAAAAGAGTGTTTCAAAACTGCTCTATCAGAAGAAATGTGCAACTCTGTGAGTTTAATGCACATATCTCAATAAGGTTTCGGAGAATGCTTCTGTCTAGTTTTCGTGTGAAGATATTTCCTATTCCACCATAGGCCTCAACGCACTCCAAATATCTACTTGCCGACTCTACACAAAGAGTGTTTCAAAACTGCTCTATCAAAAGAAAGTTTCACCTTTCTGAGTTGAATGCGCACATCACAAAGCAGTTTCTGAGAATGCTTCTGTCTGGTGTTTATGTGAAGATATTTCTTTTTCCAAAATAGTCCTCAAAAGGAACCAAATATCAACTTGCAGGTTCTACAAAAAGAGTCTTTCAAAACTGCTCTGTCAAAAAAAAAATGTTAAACTCTGTGACTTGAATGCACACATCGCAAAGAAGTTTTGGAAAACGCTTCTGTCTAGATTTTATGTGACGGTATTTCTTTTTGCACCATAGGCCTGAAAGAGCAACATATATCCAGTTGCAGATTTTACAAAAAGAGTGTTTCAAAACAGTTCTATCAAAAGAAATGTTCAACACTGTGAGTTGAATGCACACGTCATAAAGGAGTTTCTGAGAATGATTTTGTCTAGTTTTAATGTGAAGATATTTCCTTTTCCACCATATGCCACAAAGCACTCCAAATATCCCCTTGCAGTTTCTACAAAAAGAGTGTTTCAAAACTGCTATATCAAAAGAAAGTTTCAATTCTGTGAGTTGAATGCACAAATCACAAAGAAGTTTCTGAGAATGCGTCTGTCTAGTTTTTCTATGAAGATATTTCCTTTTCAACTATTGGCCTCAAAGCTCTCCAATTATCCACCTGAAGATTCTACAAAACTAGTGTTTCAAAACTGCACTATGAAAAGAAAGGTTCAAGTCTGTGAGTTGAATGCACACATCACAGGGACGTTTCAGAGAATGCTTTTGTGTAGCATTTATGTGAAGATATTTCCTTTTTCAACATAGGCCTCAAAGGAAACAAATATCCAGTTGCAGATTCTACAAAAAGATTGTTTCATTTGGGTTGGTTCCAAGTCTTTGCTATTGTGAATAATGCCGCAATAAACATACGTGTGCATGTGTCTTTATAGCAGCATGATTTATAGTCCTTTGGGTATATACCCAGTAATGGAATGGCTGAGTCAAATGGTATTTCTAGTTCTAGATCCCTGAGGAATCGCCACACTGACTTCCACAATGGTTGAACTAGTTTACAGTCCCACCAACAGTGTAAAAGTGTTCCTATTTCTCCACATCCTCTCCAGCACCTATTGTTTCCTGACATTTTAATGATTGCCATTCTAACTGGTGTGAGATGGTATCTCATTGTACTTTTGATTTGCATTTCTCTGATGGCCAGTGATGGTGAGCATTTTTTCATGTGTTTTTTGGCTGCATAAATGTCTTCTTTTGAGAAGTGTCTGTTCATAACCCAAATGTCCAAAAATGATAGACTAGATTAAGAAAATGTGGCACATATACACCATGGAATACTATGCAGCCATAAAAAATGATGAGTTCATGTCCTTTGTAGGGACATGGATGAAATTGGAAACCATCATTCTCAGTAAACTATCGCAAGAACAAAAAACCAAACACCGCATATTCTCACTCATAGGTGGGAATTGAACAATGAGATCACATGGACACAGAAAGGGGAACATCACACTCTGGGGACTGTGGTGGGGTGGGGGGAGGGGGGAGGGATAGCATTGGGAGATATACCTAATGCTGGATGACGAGTTGATGGGTGCAGCACACCAGCATGGCACATGTATACGTATGTAACTAACCTGCACAATGTGCACATGTACCCTAAAACTTAAAGTATAATAATAAAAATAAATAAATAAATAAATAAATAAATTAAAAAAAAAAAGAAAAGAAAAAAGAAAAAAAATAAGAGTGTTTCAAAACTGCTCTGTCAAAAGGAAGTTTAATCTCTGTGACATGAATGCACACATCACAAAGAAGCTTCTGAGAATGCTTCTGTCTAGTTTTCATGTGAAGATATTTCCTTTTCCACCAAAGTTTCAAAGCACTCCAAAATTCCACTTGCAGATTCTATAAAAACAGTGTTTCAAAACTGCTCTTTCAAAAGAAAGGTTTAACTGTCTCAGTTGAATGTACACATCACAAAGAAGTTTCTGAGAATGCTTCTTTCTAGTTTGTATGTGAGAATATTTCTTTTTCCATCATAGGCCTCAAAGCCCTCCAAATATCCACTTGCAGATTCTACAAAAAGACTGTTTCAAAACTGATCTATCTAAAGAAAAGTTCAACTCTGTGAGTTGAGTGCACACAACACAAAGAAGTTTTTGAGAATGTTTCTATCTAATTTTTATGTGAAGATATTTACTTTTACACCATAAGCTGCCAATCATCCCAAATATCCACTTGTAGATTCTTCAAAAAGAGTGTTTCAAAACTGCTCTATCAGAAGAGAAGTTCAAACCTGTGAGTTGAATGCACACATCACAAAGAAGTTTCTGAGAATGACTCTGTTTGTTTAGTTTTTATGTGAAGATATTTCCTTTTCCACCATAGGCCTAAAAGCGCTCCAAATATCCACTTGCAGATGTTGCAACTGTATCAAAATAAAATTTCAACTCTGTGCATTTAATGCCCACATCACAAAGAAGTTTCTGAGAATGCTTCTGTCTAGTTTTTATGTGAAGATATTTCCTTTTCCACCATAGGCCTCAAAGTGTTCCAAATATCCACTTGCAGATTCTACAAAAAGATTGTTTCAAAGCTGCTCAATCAAAGGAAAGTTTCAACTCTGTGAGTTGAATGCAAAAAACACAGAGAAGTTTCTGAGAATGCTTCTCTCTCCTTTTTATGTGAAGATATTCCCGTTTCCAAATAAGGCCTCACAGGGATCAAAATATGCATTAGGAGATTCTACAAAAAGAGTGTTTCAAAGCTGCTGTATCAAAAGAAAGTTTCAACTCTGTGTCTTGAATGCACACATCACAAAGAAGTTTATGAGAATGCTTCTGTCTTGTTTTTATGTGAAGATATTCCTTTTCCATGATAGGCCTCACAGCACTCCAAATATCCACTTGCAGATTCTACAAAAAGCGTGTTTCAAAACTGCTCAATCAAAGGAAAGGATCAACTCTGTGAGTGGAATGCACACAACACAAAGAAGTTTTTGAGAATGCTTTTGTCTGGTTTTTAATGTTGAGGGCACATCCTTTTCCACCAAAGGCCTCAATGCGCTCCAAATATGCAGATGCAGATTCCACAAAAAGAGTGTTACAAAACTGTTCTATCAAAAGAAAGGTTCAACTCTGTTTGTTGAATGCACTCATCACAAGAAAGTTTCTGAAAATGTTTCTGTCTAGTTTTTATGTGAAGATATTTCCTTTTCCACCACAGGCCTCCAAGCTCTCCAAATATCCACTTGCAGATTCTACAAACAGAGTGTTTCAAAACTGCTCAAACTTAGGGAAGTACAGCTCTGTGAGTAGAATATACACAACATAAAGAAGTTTCTGAGAATGCTTCTGTCTAGTTTTTATGTGAATATACTTCCTTTCCAATCCTAGGCCTCAAAGCACTCCAAATATCTACTTGCAGAATCTACAAAAAGAGTGTTTCAAAACTGCTCTATCAAAAGAAAGGATCAACTCTGAGAGTGGAATGCACTCATCACAAAGAAGTTTCTGAGAATGCTTCTGTTTACTTTTTATGTGAATATACTTCCTTTTCAATCCTAGGCCTCAAAGCTCTCCAAATATCTACTTGCAGATTCTAGAAAAAGAGTGTTTCAAAAGTGCTCTATTGAAAGAAAATTTCAACTCTGTGAGTTGAATGTACGCATCACAAAGAAGTTTCTGAGAATGCTTCTGTCTAGTTTTTATGTGAAGATATTTCCTATTCCACCATTGGCTTAAAGCGCTCCAAATGTCCAATTAAAAATTGTACAAAAAAGAGTATTTCAAAACTGCTCTATCAAAAGGAAGGTTCAACTCTGTGAGTTGAATTCACAAATCACAAAGATGTTTCTGAGAATGCTTCTGACTAGTTTTTATGAGAGGATATTTTGTTTTCCACCATAGACCTCAAAGAGATAAAAATATCCACTTGCAGATTTTACAATAAGAGTGTTTCAAAACTGCTCTATCGAAAGGAAGGTTCAACTCTGTGAGTTGAATGCAAACGCCACAAAGAAGGTACTGAGAATACTTCAGTCTAGTTTTTATGTGAGCATATTTCCTTTTCCACCTTATACCTCAAAGCGCTCCTAATATCCACTTGCAGATTCTGCAAAAAGAGTGTTTCAAAACTGCTCTATCAAAAGAAAGGTTCAACTCTGAGGGTTCAATGCACTCATCGCAAAGAAGTTTCTGAGAATGCTTCTACCTAGTTTTTATGTGAAGATATTTCCTTTTCCTCCATAGGCCTCTAAGTCCTCCAAATATCCACTTGCAGATTCCACAAAAAGAGTGTTTCAAAACTGCTCTATAAAAAAGTATGTTCAACTCTGTGAGTTGAATGCACACATCACAAATAAGTTTCTCGGAACGCTTCTGTCTAGTTTTTAATTTAGGATATTTCCTTTTTCACCATAGGCCTCAAAGCGCTCCAAATGTCCACTTGCAGATTCTACAAAAAGAGTGTTTCAAAACTCCTCTATCAAAAGGAAGGTTCAACTGAGTGAGTTGAAAGCACACATCCCAAAGAAGTTTCTGAGAATTCCTCTGTCTACTTTTTATGTGAGGATATTTACTTTTCCAGCATTGTCCTCGAAAGGCTCAAAATATCCACTTGTAGATTCTTCAAAAAGAGTGTTTCAAAACTGCTCTATCAAAAGGAAGGCTCATCTCTGTGAGATGAATGTACACATCAGAAAGATGTTTCTGAGAATCCCTCTGTATACTTTATATGTGAGGATATTTCCTTTTCCACCATAAACCTCAAATCACTCCAAATATCCACTTGCAGATCCTACAAAAAGTGTTTCAAAAGCGCTATATCAAAAGGAAGGTTCAACTCTATGAGTAGAATGCACACATCACAAATAAGTTTCTGAGAATTCTTCTGTCTACTTTTTATGTGAGGATATTTTTTTCCACAATAGTCCTCAAAGCGCTCCAAATATCCACTTGCAGATTCTACAAAAAGAGTGTTTCAAAACTGCTCAATCAAAAGAAAGATTCAACTCCATTAGTTGAATGCACATATCACAAAGAAGTTTCTGAGAATGCTTCTTTCTAGTTTTTACTTGAGCATATTTCCTTTTCCACCATAGGCCTCAAATTGCTCCAAATATCCAGTTGCAGATTCTACATAAAGAGTGTTTCAAAACTGCTCTATCAATAGGAAGGTTCAACTCTATGAGTTGAATGTACTCATAACAAAGAAGTTTGTGAGCATTCTTCTGTCTAGTTTTTATGTGAGGATATTTCCTTTTCCACCAAAGGCCTCAAAGCACTCCAAATATACACTTGTAGATTCTACAAAAAAAGCGTTTTAAAACTATTCTAGCAAAAGAAAGATTCAACTCTGTGAGTTGAATGCACACGTCACAGAGTAGTTTCTGAGAATGTTTCTGTCTAGCTTTTATGAGAGGATATTTTCTTTTCCAACATAGGCCTCAAAACGCTCCAAAAATCCACTTGCAGATTCTACAAAAGGAGTGTTTCAAAACTGCTCTATCGAAAGGAAGGCCAACTCTGTGAACTGAATGCAAACATCACAAAGAAGTCTCTGAGAATACTTCTGTCAAGTTTTTATGTGAAGATACTTCCTTTTCCACCTTAGGCATTAAAGTGCTCCAAATGTCCTCTTTCAGATTCTAGAAAAAGTGTGTTTCAAAACTCCTCGGTCAAAGGAAAGGTTCAACTCTGTGAGTTGAATGCACACATCAAAAAGAAGTTTCTGACAATGCTTTTGTCTAGCTTTATGTGAATATATTTCCTTTTCCACCATAGGCCTCAAAGCGCTAAAAACATCCCATTGCAGATTCTTCAAAAACAGGGTTGCAATGCTGCTGTATCAAATGGAACGTTCAACTCTGTGAGTTAGTGCACACATCACAAAGAAGTTTCTGAGAATGCTTCTGTCTAGTTTTTATATTAGGATATTTCCTTTTCCACCATAGGCCTCAAAGCACTCCAAATATCCACATGCAGATTCCACAAAAAGACTGTTTCAAAAGTGCCCTCTCAAAAGAACGTTTCACTTGTTTGAGTTGAATGCACTCAACACAAAGAAGTTTCTGAGAATGCTTCTGTCTAGTTTATTTCTGAAGATATTTCCTTTTGCAACATTGGACACAAAGTGCTCAAATATCCACTTGCAGATCCTACAAAAAGAGTGTTTCAAAACTGCTCTATCAAAACGAAGGTTCAACTCTGTGAGTTGAATGCAAACGTCACAAAGAAGTTTCTGAGAATGTTTCTTTCTAGATTTTATGTGAAGATATTTAATTTTCCATAATAGGTCTCAAAGCGCCAAAAACATCCTATTGCAGATTCTTCAAAAAGAGTGTTTCAAACCTTGTCTATCAAAAGAAAGGTTGAACTTTGTTAGTTGAATGCCCACATCACAAAGAAGTTTCTGAGAGTGCTTCTGTCTAGTTTTTATGTGAGGATATTTCCTTTTCCAACATAGGCCTCATAGCGCTCCGAATATCAACTTGCAGATTCTACAAAAAGAGTGTGATAAAACTGCTCAATCAAAGAAAGGTTCAACTCTGTGAGTTGAATGCACGGATCACAAAGAGGTTTCTGAGAATGCTTCTGTCTATATTTTATGTGAAGATATTTCGTTTTCCACCATAGACCTCAGAGGTCTCCAAATATCCACTTGCAGATTCTAAAAAAAGAGTGTTTCAAAACCACTCTATCAAAAGGAACGTTCAACTCTGTGAGTTGGATGCACACATCACAGAGAAGTTTCTGAGAATGCTTCTGTCCAGTTTTTATGTGAGGATATTTCCTTTTCCACCATAGGCCACAAATAACTCCAAATATCCACTTGCAGATTCTACTAAAAGCATGTTTCAGAACTGCTCTATGAAAAGGAACGTTCAACTCTGCGAGTTCAATGCACACATCACAAAGAAGTTTCTGAGAAAGCTTCTGTCAAGTTTTTATGTGTGGATATTTACTTTTCCACCATAGGCCTCAAAGTGCTCCAAGTATCCACTTGCAGATTCTACAAAAAGTGTGTTTCAAAACTGCTCTATCAAAAGAAAGGTTCAACTCTGTGAGTTGAATGCACACATCACAAAGAAGTTTCTGAGAATGCTTCTGTCTAGTTTTTATGGGAAGATATTTCCTTTTATCCAAAAAGCTCCAATCATCCTCTTGCAGTTGCTACAAAAAGAGTGTTTCTAAACCGCTCTATCAAAAGTAAGGTTCAACTCTGTGAGTTGAATGCACACATCACCAAGAAGTTTCTGAGAATAATTCTGTCTAGTTTTTACGTGAGGATATTTCCTTTTCCACCATAGGCCTCAAAGCACTCCAAATATCCACTTGCAGATTCTATAAAAAGAGCGTTTTAAAACTGCTCCATCAAAAGAAAGGTTAAACTCTGTGAATTGAATGCACACATCACAAAGAGGTTTCTGAGAATGCTTCTGTCTATTTTTTATGTGAAGATATTTCCTTTTCCACCATAGGCCTCAAAGCACTCCAAATATCCACTTGGAGGTTCTACAAAATAGTGTTTCAAAACTGCTCTACAAAAAGAAAGTTTTAACTCTGTGAGTTGAATGCACACATCAAAGAGAAGTTTCTGAGAATGCTTCTGTCTAGTTTTTATGCGAAGATATTTCCTTTTCCACCGTATGCCCCCGATTGCTCCAAGCATCCTCTTGCAGATTCTACAAAAAGACTGTTTCAAAACTGCTCTATCAAAAGAAATGTTCAACTCTGTGAGTTGAATGCACACATCACAAGGATGTTTCTGAGAATGCGTCTGTCTACTCTTTATGTGAAGATATTTCCTTTTCCACCAGAGACCTCAAAGCATTAAAAACATCAACATGCAGATTCTACAAAAAGGGTGTTTCAAAAAAGCTCTATGAAAAGGAAGGTTCAACTCTGTGAGTTGAATGCACACATCACAAATAACTTTCTGAGAATGCTTCTGTCTAGTTTTTATGTGAGGATATTTTCTTTTCTACCATAGGCCTCAAAGTGCTCCAAATATCCTTTTGCAGATTCTACAAAAAGTGTGTTGCAAAACTGCTCTATCAAAAGAAAGGTTCAACTCTGTGAGTTGAATGCACACATCACAAAGAAGTTTCTGAGAATGCTTCTGTCTAGTTTTTATGGGAAGATATTTCCTTTTATCCAAAAAGCTCCAATCATCCTCTTGCAGTTGCTACAAAAAGAGTGTTTCTAAACCGCTCTATCAAAAGTAAGGTTCAACTCTGTGAGTTGAATGCACACATCACCAAGAAGTTTCTGAGAATAATTCTGTCTAGTTTTTACGTGAGGATATTTCCTTTTCCACCATAGGCCTCAAAGCGCTCCAAATATCCACTTGCAGATTCTATAAAAAGAGCGTTTTAAAACTGCTCCATCAAAAGAAAGGTTAAACTCTGTGAATTGAATGCACACATCACAAAGAGGTTTCTGAGAATGCTTCTGTCTATTTTTTATGTGAAGATATTTCCTTTTCCACCATAGGCCTCAAAGCACTCCAAATATCCACTTGGAGGTTCTACAAAATAGTGTTTCAAAACTGCTCTACAAAAAGAAAGTTTTAACTCTGTGAGTTGAATGCACACATCAAAGAGAAGTTTCTGAGAATGCTTCTGTCTAGTTTTTATGCGAAGATATTTCCTTTTCCACCGTATGCCCCCGATTGCTCCAAGCATCCTCTTGCAGATTCTACAAAAAGACTGTTTCAAAACTGCTCTATCAAAAGAAATGTTCAACTCTGTGAGTTGAATGCACACATCACAAGGATGTTTCTGAGAATGCGTCTGTCTACTCTTTATGTGAAGATATTTCCTTTTCCACCAGAGACCTCAAAGCATTAAAAACATCAACATGCAGATTCTACAAAAAGGGTGTTTCAAAAAAGCTCTATGAAAAGGAAGGTTCAACTCTGTGAGTTGAATGAACACATCACAAATAACTTTCTGAGAATGCTTCTGTCTAGTTTTTATGTGAGGATATTTTCTTTTCTACCATAGGCCTCAAAGTGCTCCAAATATCCTTTTGCAGATTCTACAAAAAGAGTGTTTTAAAACTGCTTTATCAAAGAAAGATTCAACTCTGTGAGTTGAATGCACACATCACAAAGAAGTTTCTTAGACAAACTCCAGCAGACCTGCAGCTGAGGGTCCTGTCTGTTAGAAGGAAAACTAACAAACAGAAAGGATATCCACACCAAAAATACATCTGTACATCACCATCATCAAAGACCAAATGTAGATAAATCCACAAAGATGGGGAAAAAACAGAGCAGAAAAACTGGTCACTCTAAAAACAGAGCACCTCTCCTCCTCCAAAGGAATGCAGTTCCTCACCAGCAATGGAACAAAGCTGGACGGAGAATGACTTTGACAAGTTGGGAGAAGAAGGCTTCAGACGATCAAACTACGAGCTACAGGACGAAATTCTAACCAAAGTCAAAGAAGTTAAAAACTTTGAAGAAAATTTAGACGAATGTGTAACTAGAATAACCAATACAGAGAAGTGCTTAAAGGAGCTGATGAAGCTGAAAGCCAAGGCTCGAGAACTACGTGAAAAATGCAGAAGCCTCAGGAGCCAATAGGATCAACTGGAAGAAAGGGTATCAGCGGTGGAAGATGAAATGAATGAAATGAAGCAAGAAAGAAAGTTTAGAGAAAAAAGAATAAAAAGAAATGAACAAAGCCTCCAAGAATTATGAGACTATGTGAAAAGACCAAATCTACGTCTGATTGGTGTACTTGAAAGTGATTCGGAGAATGGAACCAAGTTAGAAAACACTCTGCAGGGTATTATCCAGGAGAACTTCCCCAATCTAGCAAGGCAGGCCAACATTCCGATGCAGAAAATACAGAGAACACCACAGAGATAGTCCTCGAGAAGAGCAACTCCAAGACACATAATTGTCAGATTCACCAAAGTTGAAATGAGGGAAAAAATGTTAAGGGCAGCCACAGAGAAAGGTCGGGTTACCCACAAAGGGAAGCCCATCAGACTAACAGGGGATCTCTGGGAAGAAACTCTCCAAGCCAGAAGAGAGTGGGGGCCAATATTCAACATTCTTAAAGAAAAGAATTTTCAACCCAGAATTTCATATCCAGCCAAACTAAGCTTCATAAGTGAAGGAGAAATAAAATACTTTACAGACAAGCAAATGCCAAGAGATTTTGTCACCACCAGGCCTGCCCTAAAAGAGCTCCTGAAGGAAGTGCTAAACATAGAAAGGAACAACCGGTACCAGCCGCTGCAAAATCATGCCAAAATGTAAAGACCATCGAGACTAGGAAGAAACTGCATGAACTAACGAGCAAAATAACCAGCTAACATCATAATGACAGGATCAAATTCACACAAAACGATATTAACTTTAAATGTAAATGGACTAAATGCTCCAATTAAAAGACACAGACTGGCAAATTGGATAAAGAGTCAAGACCCATCAGTGTGCTGTATTCAGGAAACCCATCTCACATGCAGAGACACACATAGGCTCAAAATAAAAGGATGGAGGAAGATCTACCAAGCAAATGGAAAACAAAAAAAGGCAGGGGTTGCAATCCTAGTCTCTGGTAAAACAGACTTTAAACCAACAAAGATCAAAAGAGACAAAGAAGGCCATTACATAATGGTAAAGGGATCAACTCAACAAGAAGAGCTAACTATCCTAAATATATATGCCTCCAATACAGGAGCACCAAGATTCATAAAGCAAGTCTGGAGTGACCTACAAAGAGACTTAGACTCCTACACAATAATAATGGAAAACTTTAACACCCCACTGTCAACCTTAGACAGATCAATGAGACAGAAAGTTAACAAGGATACCCAGGAATTGAACTCAGCTCTGCACCAAGCAGACCTAATAGACATCTACCGAACTCTCCACCCCAAATCAACAGAATATACATTTTTTTCAGCACCACACCACACCTATGCCAAAATTGACCACATAGTTGGATGTAAGGCTCTCCTCAGCAAATGTAAAAGGACAGAAATTATAACAAACTATCTCTCAGACCACAGTGTAATCAAACTAGAACTCAGTATTAAGAAACTCACTCAACACTGCTCAACTACATGGAAACTGAACAACCTGCTCCTGAATGACTACTGGGTACATGATAAAATGAAGGCAGAAATAAAGATTTTCATTGAAACCAACGAGAACAAAGACACAACATACACATTCAAAGCAGTGTGTAGAGGGAAATTTATAGCACTAAATGCCCACAAGAGAAAGCAGGAAAGATCCAAAATTTACACCCTAACATCACAATTAAAAGAACTAGAAAAGCAAGAGCAAACACATTGAAAAGCTAGCAGAAGGCAAGAAATAACTAAAATCAGAGCAAAACTGGAGGAAATAGAGACACAAAAAACCCTTCAAAAATTAATGAATCCAGGAGCTGGTTTTTTGAAAGGATCGACAAAATTGATAGACCGCTAGCAAGACTAATAAAGAAAAAAAGAGAGAAGAATCAAATAGATGCAATAAAAAATGATAAAGGGGATATCACCACCGGTCCCACAGAAATACAAACTACCATCAGAGAATACTACAAACACCTCTACGCAAATAAACTAGAAAATCTAGAAGAAATGGATAAATTCCTCGACACATACACTCTCCCAAGACTAAACCAGGAAGAAGTTGAATCTCTGAATAGACCAATAACAGGAGCTGAAATTGTGGCAATAATCAATAGCTTACCAACCAAAAAAAGTCCAGGACCAGACGAATTCACAGCCGAATTCCACCCAAGGAGGAACTGGTACCATTCCTTCTGAAACTATTCCAATCAATAGAAAAAGAGGGAATCCTCTCTAACTCATTTTATAAGGCCAGCATCATCCTGATACCAAAGCCAGGCAGAGACGCAACCAAAAAAGAGAATTTTAGACCAATAGCTTTGATGAATGTTGATGCAAAAATCCTCAATAAAATACTGGCAAACCGAATCCAGCAGCACATCAAAAAGCTTATCCACCATGATCAAGTGGGCTTCATCCCTGGGATGCAAGACTGGTTCAATATAAGCAAATCAATAAATATAATCCAGCATATAAACAGAACCATATAAACGAAGGGACATTTGATAGCCCTTTGGGACCTATGAGGAAAACTGAATATCCCCAGATAAAAACTACAAAGAAGGTACCAGTGTAACTGCTTTGTGATATGTGGATTCATCTCACAGAGTTAAAAGTTTCTTTTGATTCAGCAAGTTGGAAACACTCTTTTTGGAGAATCTGTGAAAAGACACTTGGGAGCCAATTGAGGCCTCTGTAAATAAATGGAATATCCCCAGATAAAAACTAGAAGGAAGCTATCCATAAAACTGTTCTGTAATTTGTGGATTCATCTCACAAAGCTATGCCTTTTTTGATTCAGCATGTTGGAAACACTTTTTCTCTAGAATCTGCGAAGGGATATTGGGGAGCTTTTTGAAATGTCCCTTCATATATTCTCCAGAAAGAATGTGTCCAACCTACTGAATCAAAAGAAATGGTTAACTCTCTCAGATAACTCCACACCTCACAAAGCACTTTCACAGATTATTTCCTTCTTGTTTTGTTCTGGGCATATTCTGTTTTCCCTGAGAGGCCTCAATGGTCTCCCCACTGTCCCTTCACAGATTCTCCAAACAGAGTGTGTTCAACCTGCTTAATGAAAAGAAAGGTGTAACTCTGTTAGATGAATCCACACGTCACAAATCTGATTCTAAGAAAATTTCTTTCTAGCTTTTATCTGGAGATTTTTGTATTTTTCCCATATGCCTCAATGGGCTCCCAAATTTCCCTTCAGAGATTCCCCCAAAAAGAGTGTTTCCAACCTTTAAACTAAGACAAAAAGTTTAACTCTGTGAGATGAATCCACATATCACAAAGCAGTTTCACAGATAGATTCTTTCTAGTTTTTATCTGAGGATATTCAGTTTTTACCCATAGGCCTCAATAGGATTTCAAATGTCCTTTGCATGTGCTCCAAAGAGAGTGTTTCCAACCTGCTGAATCATAGGTTTACCTCTTGGACATGAATCCACACATCAAAACGCAACTTCACAGATAGCTTCTTTCTAGTTTTTAATTGGGCATATTCGGTTTTTCCCCATAGACCTCAATGGAGTCCCAAATGTTTCTTTGCAGATTCAACATTTAGAGCGTTTCCAACCTGTTGTATGAAAAGAAAGGTTTAAGCAAGATGTATTTACATATCAAAAAGCAGTTTCACAGATACCTTCTTTATCATTTTTATCTGGGGATATTCATTTTTTTCCCAATAGGCTTCAATTGGCTCCCAAATGTCCCTTTGCAAATTCTACAAAAAGAGTGTTTCCAAACTGCTAAATCAAAAGAAAAATTTACCTCTGTGAGATGAATCCACATATCAAAAAGAAGTTTCACAGATAGCTTCTTCATAGTTTTTATCTATCTGTGGGTTATTGGTTTTTCCCCCTAACCTCAGTGGGCTTCCTAATATTCATTAGTAGCTTTTCCAAATAAAGTGTTTCCAATCTGCAGATTAAAAAGAAAGGTTTAACTGTGTAAGATGAATCCACACATCACAAAGCAGTTTCACAGAGAACTTATTTCAAGTTTTTGTATGGGAATTTTCATTTTTTCTACTTTGGCCACAATAGGCTCCCAAATATCCCTTTGCATATTCTCCAAAAAGAGGGTTTTTAACCTGCTGAATCAGAAGAAAGTTTTAACTCTGTGAGGTTAATCCACACATCACACAGCAGTTTCACAGATAACTTCTTTTTACTTATCTTGGGATATTCTTTTTTTTTCCTATAGGACTCATTGGGCTCCCAATTATCCCTTCACAGTTCCTTTGAAAAGAGTGTTTCCTACCTGTTGCATGAAAATAAAGGCTTAACTCTGTGAGATGAATCAACAAATCACAAAGCCATTTCACAGATAGCTTCTTTCTAGTTTTTATCTGGAAGTATTAATTTTTTCCCAATAAGTTTCAAAAATCTCCCCAATGTCCCTTTGAAGTTTCTACAAAAAAAAGTGTTTCCAACATGCTGAAACAAAAGAAAGGCTTACCTTGTGAGATGAATCCACACATCACAAAGAAGTTTCACAGATAGCTTCTTTGTAGCTTTTAACTGGGGATATGCTGTTTTTCCTATAGTCTTCAATGGATTCCAAAATGTCATCTCACAGATTTTCCAGAAAGAGTGCTTCCAAACTGCTGAATCAAAAAAAGTTTGAACTCTGTGAGATGAATCCACAGATCTGCAAAATGTCCCTTCACAGATCGTACGCAGTGATTACTTTTGGGGGACTTTCAGCCCCTGATATTTCACGTGGGTTCTTTTCTGTTTCCCTAAGTGTCAGCTGGTCTGAGAAATAAAGGGAAAGAGTACAAAAGGGAGAAATTTTAAATCTGGGTGTCCGAGGAAGACATCACATGTCAGCAGGTTCTGTGATGCCCCCTGAGCCATAAAACCAGCAAGTTTTTATTAGGAATTTTCAAAGGGGAAGGAGTGCAAGAATAGGGTGTGGGTCACAGAGATCACATGCTTCAAGGGTGACAAAAGATCACAAGGCAGGAGGTCAGTTCAAGATCATAAGGTCAGGGTGAATCTAGAATCACTAATGAACTTCAATGTCCTGCTGTGCACACATTGTCAGGATTCAAGAGCAGAGAACTGGTCTGACTAGAAATTGCCAGGCTGGAATTTCCTAATCCTAGCAAGCCTGGAGGTGCTGCAGGAGACTAGGGCATCTTTCATCCCTATCTACGTCTGCATAAAGGCAGAAACTCTCAGGGTGGCCATTTCAGAGGCCTCCCCTGGAAATGCATTCTTTTCCCAGGGCTGTTAATTATTAGTCCTCCTTACTGGGGAAAGAATTCAGTGATAACTTCTCTTACCCGTTTCCAGTAATAAGAGAAATATGGCTCTGCACTGCCAAGGCCACAGGGAGCCAGACTTTAAGGTTATCTCCCTTGTTTCCTGAAAATCACTGTTATCCTGTTATTAAGGTGCCCAGATTTCATATTGTTCAAAAACGCATGCTCTACAAACAGTTTGTGCAGTTAGCACAATCATCATAGGGTCCTGAGGCAACATACATCTTCAGCATACGAATATAAAGGGATTAAGAGACTAAAGTAAAGACAGGCATAGGAAATCACAAGAGTATTGATTGGAGAGATGATAAATGTCCATGAAATCTTCACAATTTATGTTCAGAGATTGCAGTAAAGACAGGCCTAAGAAATTATAAAAGTATTAATTTGGGGAACTAATAAATGTCCATGAAATCTTCACAATTTATGTTTTTCTGCCATGGCTTCAGCCAGTCCCTCCATTCGGTGTCCCTGACTTCCTGCAACATTTCTCCCTTTCTTTTTATATAATTGTGCCATGGCAATGAAGGCTTGTTCATTTTCTCGATTTTGACACAGGATTCTTTGACTGGTCCAACCCACTAAAAACAAGCCAATTAAACAGAGAAACATAATTCCTAAATTTACTACAGTGGAGCCCCCAATAGACTTAATCCAAGTCATGGGGTTTAATCCATCAAGATTTTCTACCACCTGATCTAACACCTTATCTCCAGGCAAAATGGATAAGCGAGCTTGAGAGGTTTCAAAAATTTATTTCTTTAATTTAGTTATGTCCAATGATAAATTATCTTCCCAACCCAGAAGGTGTCTTTGACCATTTCTCATGAATGATCAGTCTCATTATAGGAATATGGGGTGATACAGTAATCTGAAGTATTCCAATCACACTGCTTTTGCATCTGATTTTTGAGACTCACTACCCAATCTCCAAGTCAAATAACAGACCATCTGAAATCATTGATTTGATTAGACAATTTTTGATCAATGCCTTTTTGAGAATTCCACATTTGGGTGGAATTTGCTTGCCAGTCATTAAGAAAATGAGCCATTTGAATAGATTGATGTAACGCCATTCCAGCAGTGGTGGCCAGTGCAGTGACTGTAATTAGGCCCATGATCACAGCCATTAAAGTGAAAACAAATCTCTTGGATCTTTTTAGAATTTGCTGTAAGACTTCATTAATTAAATGTATCGAGGAGTAGGATTCCCAAGGTATGGGCAAAGTTACCGGAGTCCAGATTCCTTCTTGAGCTCAAACCAACATTACACTTTTCTTGGAGTCAAAATGGGAGTTAATACAAGTGTAAATGACAATTAATGCTTTGGACCATTTGAGTGTTTGTCCAAATTTTGATATTTCCCACTAACATCATGTAAGGAGGCTTAACACAACTCTCTATGGGAACAGTCAGGTTGGAGGTAAGTAAAGCAGAAAGTCTGAATCTACATTGATACTGGGAGAGGGGGACGGTAGTGGGGACAACAGACACAATAGTTTTCCCTTCCCATACTTACAGTCCCGACATGGCAATAGCCAATTTCCAAAGTTCTGGGCTCAGAATGGCGAGTATCATACGAGTCCTCGGGGGGGTAATGCTTTTATCTTCCCATTTTAAGGGAAAGAATGAGCTGAACCTCCTACGCAAAGTTGAATGATGATTCTCGTTCTCCTGATAAGAAATAAAATAAGTAGCCTCCAGGCCTTCCTTTCCACCAGAGAAGCAATTGTTTTTTAAATAGCCCTTTGGTGCCCAGTCTATTACTAAACCTTGTGAATCATTTTTAATATTATCACATGTGAGTTAACACAATCTTCCCAAATTAAAGTTTTAGATGGGCCCTCAAAATTTTTAGGGCAGGGTTTTCCTGCAGGTTTATATTGAAAGTATGGGATATCTCCCATTACTCCCCCTTTCATTTGTCTTAAAGGAGAAAGGGAGAGGCTAAAGACCAAATGTCCCAGTTCTTCTGTAGCTGATCTCTCCACAAGATAAGCAGTCTAGACTTGAGTTTCTAGATGGATACAACCAGAAGCATGTCCAAAGCACAGAGGGGGGTATTTATAACCCATGGTACATTAAATGCAGCGTCTTCCTGTCCTGGTTGAACAGGGCAATGGTCATCTCTAGCTCCAGGCATCCACACACTATCGTTAGTATAGATTTCTGCAGGAGCATGTATCCAGGTGAGAGGTTGAATAAGTGGATGAAAAGGCACCTAAGCACAATAAGAGTAATATTGTGTAGCAGGTAAATCAGTGTAAGAGGAAACTGGAGAAACAGAAAGTTTTAGTTGGAGAACCATTAAATAAAACCCATTTTAGTGAGATTGAGTGCTAAAGGAGGAACAGAAGAGCAGAGGGATGTTATGTTCAGGCTAATAGAAATGGTGAGATTTCTAGGTTTGTAAGGAGAAAAAGAAAGGTAATCAGGAGAAGTGGGATCAGATAGATGGGTCTTCATTGCCATCAGGGAGGATTGAATCAGACCTATTGTGATTTGGTGTACCACCTTCTAAGGAGTTGGCACAGATCTCACCACTTCTGAGGGCAACCTTTGACATGGATGTCTTTTATCTGTGGTTTTTGTTTGATGATCTCCTGGTGAAACAAAAGCATATCCTCTTTCCCACTTTAAGTAGAATCAGAGACAATATTTAAGGGTTTGGGGAAATCCTGTAAGGCAGTAATTACAGGAATTAACTCTGCCTTTTGAGCAGAAGTATAAGAGGTAGAAATAAGCTAGTCCATAGGTCTTAAATAATTAATGTTACCCAAAATTTTTTGGACGTTGTTTAAAGTTTTCAAAGAATCTGTCCTAATTTGGACTTTTTGAGGTTGAATACATTGTTTATTGACCACCATTTCTAAATATGGAACAGGAGTGGTCTGTTGAATTTTATCCTGAGGGAGTGTAATCCAGCCTCTGTAACACGGGGGCTCAAAATTTGATAACAGTCAATTAATTCTTTATCAGTGGGGGCAGTAATTAAAATATCATCAATATAATGAAGAATATAGGCCTCAGTAAATTGGGCTTGAACTGGTGAAAGCACTTGTCCAACATAAAGCTGGCAGATTGTAGGGCTATTTTGCATTCCCTGAGGAAGTACTTTCCATTGACAATGAGCTGCAGGCTCCAGATTATTGATAGATGGTACAGTAAAAGCAAATTTTTCACAATCTGATTTATGTAAAACAATATGAAAAAAATCTTTAAGATCAATAACTATGAGAGGCCAATTTTAGATATTAAAGCAGGGGAAGGCATACTGGGTTTGATGGGTCCCATAGGCTTAATTATAACGTTAATAGCCCTTAAATTGGTTACCATCTGCCACTTGACTGATTTTTTTTTTCTAGTGGAAACACAGGAGAATTCCAGGGGAAAAGAGAAGGTTCCACATTTCCAAGTTGTAGCGGTTTAGAAACCAATTGAGTTAAAGCTGCCAGTTTTTCTTTAGAAAGCAGCCGCTGCTTAATCCAAATGGGTGTGTCAGATTTCCATTGTAAAGGGATAGGATCAGGAGGCATGGCAGCGACCGCCACTAAAAAGGATAAACTAAACCATTACTGTCTTATTTTACAGTAATTGGGAGGGGTTTAGTAATCCCTTCATGCTTTGGACTGAGACTGAGCCCAGGAACAAATCCATGTTTTCCATCATATGTTAACTGAGAACACTATAAGAATTATGTGCAATATTAATTTCAGCCACAGTATCTACTAGGCCCTCAAAACTTTTTCCTTGAATGTGTATAGTGTAGGTGGGTCGTTGTTTAGAAATTATATTAACCCAATAAACTGCCTTTTCACTGACAGAGCCCATCCTAGGGCCACGTGCCTTATCTCCTTTGTTTAAAACAATATTAGGTAGTAAAAGCAATTGAGCTTGTTTAACAGTAGTAAAAGAAACAAGAGCTTGGCCTGGGGCATGTAATTTATCCCAAGCTCTCATACACAACTTTGTTACTTGTTTTGTGTTAAGAGCATCAAAGCCTAATTGGGCATAAGTATCAGAGAAACTATCAGAGCCTGTGAGCTGAGCCTGAGTAGTTAGAATGCCATTAGTCTGATTTAGCTGAGCCTAGAGATGTATCTCCTCTGTCTACCAGGCTGAGATGGAGTTAGATCAGTTTTTGCCAAAAGGTCCTAGTCTAAAGGAAGCAAAATGACCTCAATACAAAAAGTGTGTAATACCATTTTAACAAAAGGGGTAGTAGGACCATACTGAGTACAAGCATCCATAAATTCTTTTAAAAAGGTAAGATTGAGAGGTACATAATGATGCAAACCAGTTGAGGAACCGAAACCACAGGAGGGTGAGGGGCTGCACTGGATGGGGCAGGGCCTGGAGGATTATAGGTAAATTGTAGTTTGGACCTGGAGCCATTAGCTGATGCCAGAGGTTTGAAGAGAGAAAAATTAGCATATCAATGGTCCTGGGCTGTGTGAGTTGTGGGAGCTTCAAGTACAAGCTCTTCGTGAAAAGAAGATACATAGGTGATAACATTAAGCCAAAGTCACTGGAGTTAGATATTGAATTTTCAGCATTGTTAGGTGGGGGAGGAGTAGCTGAAGGGAGAGGCTGATCAGATAATGAAGGCCCTGCAGGAGAGGAAAGTTGAGGAAGTATTAGGACAGCACATACCAAGGCCCAAACAGTGATGGGAACATAATTTCCTGTCAAGACCAGTTTCCAGAATGTTGCACCAACACAATCCCATACTTTATTTTACATGCATGGTTCCTTTTTCAGGAAACAAAGGACAGTATTTTTCCACCACCCTGAATCGAGTGACCATATTTTCCATGGTTACTCAGACCCTTCCCTGTTTTAACAGGTCTACATCTAAGGTTCATTTTTCAGGAATCCAAGGACAGAATTTTACCACTGCCCTGAGCAGAGTGACCATATTTTCCATGGGCACTCGAATCCTTTTCTGTTTTAACTGGACTTTAATATAGAAGAGATAAGTATAATTTTCATACTCAGTGTGACCCATAGTTAACCCAGACCACACAAAGACTACTCACCAGTCATCAGGGAGTTGAGCATGCTTATCTATGGACCAAACTGATGACGTTTCTGTGCACCTGCCAAAGGGAATCGGGTTCCCACATGCACTTAGGACAAAAGAAAGACCATGTGGGTGCCAGATATAGTGGGAAATTCAGCCCCCAATATTTCACGTGGGTTCTTTTCTATTTCCCATGTCAGCTGATCTGAGAAATAAAGGGAAAGAGCACAAAAGAGAGAAATTTTAAAGCTGGGTGTCCGAGAAAGACATCACATGTCAGCAGGTTCCGTGATGCCCCCTGGGCCATAAAACCAGCAAGTTTTTATTAGCAATTTTCAAAGGGGAGGGAGTGCAAGAATAGGGTGTGGGTCACAGAGATCACACGCTTCAAGGGTGACAAAAGATCACAAGGCAGGAGGTCAGGGAGAGATCACAAGGTCAGGGTGAAACTAGAATCACTAATGAAATTCCATGTCCCACTGTGCATGCATTGTTAGGGTTCAAGAGCAGATAATCAGTCTGACTAGAAATTGCCAGGCTGGAATTTCCTAATCCTAGCAAGCTGGGGAGTGCTGCAGGAGACTAGGGCATGTTTCACTTCTATCTACATCTGCATAAAGCAGACACTCTCAGGGTGGCCATTTCAGAGGCCTCCCCTGGGAATGCATTCTTTTCCCAGGGCTGTTAATTATCAATATTCCTTACTGGGGAAAGAATTCAGCGATAACTTCTCTTCCCCATTTTTGGTAATAAGAGAAATATGGCTCTCTCCTGCCCAGCCCCAGAGAGCCAGACTTTAAAATTATCTCCCTTGTTCCCTGAAAATCGCTATTTTCCTGTTCTTAAGGTGCTCAGGTTTCATATTGTTCAAACACACATGCTCTACAAACAATTTGTGCAGTTAATGCAACCATCACAGGGTCCTGAGGTGCCATACAGCCTCAGCTTATGAAGATGATGGGATTAAGAGATTAAAATAAAGATAGGCCTAGGAAATCACAAGAGTATTGACTGGGGAAGTGATGAATGTCCATGAAATCTTCACAATTTATGTTCAGAGATTGCAGTAAAGACAGGCATAAGATACTATAAAAGTATTAATTTGGGGAACTAATAAATGTACATGAAATCTTCACAATTTGTGTTCTTCTGTCATGGCTTAAGCTGGTCCCTCCATTTGGGGTCCCTGATATCCCACAATAGATTACAACCTACTGGATGTAAAGAACGGTTTAATTCTGTGAGATAAATCCGTACATCACAAAGCAGTTTCACAGATAGCTTCTTTCTAGTTTTTATCTTGAAGATATTCTTTTTTTCAATAGGCCTCAATAGACTCCCAAATGTCTTTTTGCAGATACTCCAAAAAGAGTGTTTTCAACCCACTGAATCAAAAGTATAAGTCTGTGAGATGAATCCACACATCACAAAGCAGTTTCACACATACCCTCTTTCTAGTTTTATCTGGAAATATTCTGTATTTCCCAATAGATTGCAATAGGTTGCAAAATGCCCCTTCACTGATTCTCCAAGAAGAGTGTTTCCAACATGCTGAATCAAAAGAAATTCTTAACTCTTTGAGATGAATCCACACATAACAAAGGAGTTTCACGGATGGCTTTTTTCTAGTTTATATGTGGGGACATTCAGTTTATCACTATGGGCCTCAATGAGCTCACAAATGTACCTTCACAGATGCTACAAAATAGAGCTTCCAACCTGCTGAATCAAAATAAGTTTTTAATTCTACCAGATGAATCCACACATCACAAAGCAGTTTCACAGACAACATCTTTGTAGTTTCTATCTGGGGATGTTCAGTTTATTTTCATAGACATAAAAGGACTCCAAAATGTCTCTTCACAGATTTTCCAGAAAGAGTGCTTCCAACCGGATGAATCAAAAAATCCACAGATTACAAAGCAGTTTCACAGAGAGCTTCTTTCTAGTTTTTATCTGGGGATATTTGTTTTTGCCCTATTTGCCTCAATGGGCTCCCAAATGTCCTTTGGCAGATTCTCCAAAAAGAGAGTTTCCAAGCTGTTGTATCAAAAGAAAGCCTTAATTCTGTGAGACAAGTTCACATAATGCAAAGGTGTTTAACAGATAGCTTCTGTCTAATTATTATCTGGAAATATTCATTTTTTCCCAGTAGGCATCAATGGGCTCTTCAATGTTCTATCTCATAGATTCTACAAAAAGACCATTCTCACCTACTGAAACAAAATAAAGTTTTAACTGTGTCAGATGAATCCACACTTCACAAAGCAGTTTGACAGACAGCTTCTTTCCAGCTTTTATCTGGGAACAATCAATTTTCCTGCATAGGCCTCAATAAGCTTCAAAATGTCCCTTCACAGATTCTCCAAAAAGAGTGTTTCCAACCTACTGAATCAAAAGAAAGTTTTAACTCTGTGAGATGAATAAACACATCACAAAGCAGTTTCAGAGAGAGCTTGTTTCTAGTTTTTTGCTGGGAATATTCGGTTTTTCCCCATAGGCCTCACTAAGTTCCCAAATGTCCTTTCGCAGATACTCCAAAAAGAATGTTTCCAATTTGCCAAATCAAGATAAAAATTTAACTATGTGACATAAATCCACACAACAAAAAACAGTTTCACAGATGACTTCTTTCTCGTTTTTATCTGGGGATATACAGTTTTGCCTGATAGGTTTCAATGAGCTCCAAAATGTCGTTTCTCAGATTCTGCAAAAAGAGTTTTTCCAACCTGCTGAATCAAAAGTAAGGTTTAGCTGTGAGATGAATCCACACAGCACAAAGCAATTTCACAGATTGCTTCTTTCTAGTTTTTCTTTGAAAATATTTGGTTTTGCCCCGTAGTCCTCAAAGGGCTCCTAAATGACCCTTCACAGATTCTACGTAAAGAGTATTTCCAACTTATGAATCAAAAGAAAGTTTTACTCTGTGAAGTGAATCCATATGCCACAAAGCAGTTTCACAAATTGCTTCTTTCCGGTTTCTATCTGGGAATATTTGTTTTTTCCCCATAGTCCTCAGTGGCTCCCATATCTCCCTTCACAGTTTCTCCAAAAAGAGTGTTTCCAACCTGCTGAATCAAAAAAGCTTTAACTCTGTGAGATGCATCGACACATCACAAAGCAGTTTCAACGATAGGTTCTTTCCAGTTTGTATCTGGGGTTATTCAGTTTTTTTCCATAGGCCTAAATGGACTCCCAGATGTCTCTTCACAGATTCTCCAAAAAGAGTATTTCAAACTTGCTGAATTAAAAGTAAGGTTTAACTCTGTGACATGAACCAACACATCACAAAGCAGTTTCAGAGATAGATTCTTTATAGTTATTATCTAGGAATATTCTGTTTTGACACATAGGTCTCAATATGCTCCTAAATGTCCCTTTGCATGTTCTCCTAAAAGAGTGTTACCACCCTGCTGAATCAAAAGAAAGGGAGAATTCTGTGAGCTGTATCCACACATCACAAATCAGTTTCACAGATCGCTTGTTTCTAGTTATTATCTAGGAATATTAGGTTTTTCCCCATAGGCCTCAATAAGCTCCCAAATGTTCCTTCACAGATTCTTGAAAAACAGTGTTGCAACCTGCTGAATCAAAAAATGGCTTAACTCTGTGAGATCAATCTACACATCTCAAAGCAGTTTCACAGATAGCTTCTTTCTAGTTGTTATCTGGAAATATTCAGTGTTCTCCATAGGCCTCAATGTGCTCCCAACTGTCTTTTCACAGACAACCCAAAAATAGGATTTTCAACCTGCTGAATTGAAGGAAATGTTAAATTCTGTGAGATGAATCCACACACCAAAAAGCAGCTTCACAGAGAGCTTATTTGTACTGTTTATCTGGGGATATTCAGTTTTTCCCCATAGACCTCACAGGGCTCCCACATGTCCCTTCATAGGTCCTCCAAAAACAGTGTTTCCAACCTGCTGGATCAAAAGAAAAGTTTACCTCTTTGAGATGAATCCACACATAACAAAGCTGTTTCACTTATAGCTTCTTTCTAGTTTTTTATCAGGGGATATTCTGTTTTCGCCCATAAGCCTCAATGGGCTCCCTAATATCCCTTCACAAATTCTCCAACAAGAGTGTTTCTAAACCTGCTGAATCAACAGAAAGGTTTAACTCTGTGAGATGAATGCACACATGACAAAGCAGTTTCACAGACAGCTTCTTTCTAGTTTCTATCTGAGAATATTTTGTTTTCCCCATAGACCTCAGCAGGCTCCGAAATGTCATTTCTCAGATTCCCAAAAAGAGTGCTTTCAAGCTGCTGAATCAAAGCAAAGGTTAAACTCTGTGAAATGAATCCACACATCACATAGTAGTTTCAGAGATTGCGACTTTCTATTTTATATCTGGCAATATTCTGTTATTACCCATAGGCCTCAATAAGCTCCCAAATGTCCCTTCACAGATTATCCAAAAGGAGTGCTTCCAACCTGCTGAATAAAAAGAAAGTTTTAACTCTGTGAGATGAATACACATCACAAAGCAGTTTTACAGATAGCTTCTTTCTAGTTTTATCTGAGGATATTCAGTTTTTATCCATAGGTCTCATTGGGCTCCCACATATCCCTCCACAGATTCTGCAAAAAGGGTGTTTCCAACATGCTGAATCAAAAGAAAGGTTTATCTCTCTGAGGTGAATTAACACAACACAAAGCAATTTGAGAGATAGCTTCTTTCCAATTTTTATCTGGGAATATTCTGTTTTATCCCATAGATCTCAATAAGCTCCCAAATATCCCATCACATATTCTCTAAATAGAATGTTACCACCCTCCTGAATAAAAATAAAATTTTAATTCTGTGAGATGTACCCACACATCACATAGTAGTTTCACAGATAGCTTCTTTCTAGCTATTATCTGGGGATATTTGGTTTTTATCCCTAGGCATCAATGGGCTCTAAAATGTCCCTTTGCAGATTCACAAAGAGTGCTTCCAAACTCCTGAATTAAAAAATAAAGTTTTAAATTTGTGGGATGAATCTAAACATCTCAAAGGAGTTTCACAGATAGCTTCATTCTAGTTTTTATTTGCAGATGTTCTGTTTTTCTCCATAGGCCTCAATGTGCTCCCAATTGTCCCTTCGCATATATCCCAAAAAGAAGGTTTCCAACTTGCTAAAACAAGGGAAAGGTTTCACTCTGTGAAATGAATCCACACAACAGAAAGCAGTTTCACAAATAGGTTCTTTCAAGTTTTTATCTGGGGATATTAAGTTTTTCCCCATAGGCCTCAATGGGCTTCAAAATGTCCCTTCACAGATGCTTCAAAAAGAGTGTTTCTAACCTCCTGAATCAAAAGAGAGGTTTAAATCTGTGAGATGCATCTGCACATCACAAAGCAGTTTCACAGATAGCTTCCTTCTAATTTTTTTCTGGGGATATCCGGTTTTGCCCCATAGGCCTCAATGCACTCACAAATGTCTCCTTCACAGATTCTCCAATAGGAGTGTTTCCAATTTACTGAATCAAAAGAAACTTTTAACTCTTTTAGATGAATCTGCACATCAAAAAGCAGTTTCACAGATAGCATCTTCAGAGTGTTTACTTGGGAATATTTGTTTTTCCACATAGTCCTCAATGGTTTCCCAAATATCCCTTCACAAGATCTCCAAAAAGAGGGTTTTTAACCTGCTGAACCCAAAGAATCATTTAACTAGGTGAGATGAATCCACATCACAAAGGATTTTCAGAGATAGATTATTTCTACTTTGTCTCTGGGGATATTCAGTTTTTCCCCTTAGGTCTGAATGGGCTCCCAAATGTACCTTCACAGGTTCTACAAAAAGAGTGTTTCAAACCTGCTGAATCAAAAGGAAGGTTTAACCCTGTGAGATGAATCCACACGTCACAAAGAAGTTTGACACATATATTCTTTCTTGTTTTTATCTGGGGATGGATGTTCAGTTTTTCCCCATAGGCCTCAGTGAGCTCTTAAATGTCCCTTTGCAGATACTGGAAAAAGAGTATTTCCAGCCTACTGAATTGAAAGAAGCTTTTAACTCTGTGGGATTAATCCAAACATCACAAAGCAGTTTCACACATTGCTTCTATCTGGTTTTTATCTGAGGATGTTTGAATTTTCCCCATAGTCCTCAATGAGCTTCCAAATGTCCCTTTGCAGATTCTCCAAAATGAGTGTTTCCAGCCAACTGATTCAAAATAAAGGTTTAACTCTATGTGAGAAGAATTAACACATCACAAAGCAGTTTCAGAGAGAGCTTCCTTCTAGTTTTTTTCTGGGAATATTCTGTTTTTCCCCTAGGCTGCACTAAGCTCCCAAATGTCCCTTAGTAGATATTCCAAAAAGAGTGTTTCCAATTTGCTAAATTGGGAGAAAAATTTAACTATGTGATGTGAATTCACACATCACAGAGCAGTTTCACAGATAGCTTCTTTCTCATTTTTATCAGAGGATATAGGGTTTTGCTCTATAGGCTTCAAAGGGCTCCAAAAGGTCGTTTCACAGATTCTGCAAAATGTGTGTTTCTAACCTGCCGAATCAAAAGTAAGGTTTAGCTGTGAGATGAATCCACACATCACAAAGGAGTTTCACAGATAGCTTCATTCCATTTTCTATCTGGAATATTTGGTTTTTCCCCATAGTCCTCAATTGGATCCCAAATGTTTCTTCACAGTTCTTCCAAAAAGAGTATTTCCAACCTGCTGAATCAAAGAAGTTGTAACACCGTGAGATAAATCCACACATCACAAAGCAGTTTCACAGATAGCTTCTTTCCAGTTTGTATCTGGGGTTATTCGTTTTTTTGCCATAGGCCTCAATTGGCTCCCAAATGTCCTTTCGCAGATTCTCCAGCCTGCCAAATTAAAAGTTTAACTCTGTGAGATGAACCAACACATCACAAAGCAGTTTCAGAGACAGCTTCTTTCTAGTTTTTATCTGGGAATATTCTGTTTTTACACAGAGGCCTCAATAAGCTACCAAATGTCCCTTCACAGATTAACTGTTCTCCATATAAAGATGAGACCATGAGTTCAATAGTAAATGAGAACTGACTCCTGAGGCTGACAAAGACTTACAAATGATTGAAGAAAAAATACAACAGTCCCAGGTTAATAGAATAGACTCAGGTTTGCCATTACACTTCATTGTGTTCCTTATTCTTCATTCTCCTACAGGGGTTATAGTTGAGAATGAGGACTTAGTTGAATGGTCTTTTCTGCCTCACAATACTGTGAGAACACTCACAGTATACTTGGATCAGACGGCAATCTTGAAAGGGCAAGCTGGCCTTAGAGTTGTTAAACTTTGTTTTTCAGATCCAGATAAGATTATAGTTCCAAAGAATAAAAATCAGATGCAGCAAGCCCTTATTAATCCGGTGAACTGGCAAATAAATATAGCTGGCTTCATTGGAGTTCTTGACAATCATTATTCAAAATCAAAATTTTTCAGTTTTTAAAGCTAACATTGGTCCTTCCAAAAATTACCCATAGTTCTCCACTGGAAGGAGCAATAACTGTTTACAGATGGCTCTAGAAATAGAAAAGCAGCTTATGTAGGACTTAAAAACAGAATAACTCAAACTGACTTTCAATTGGCACAGAGGGCTGAATTACAGACAGTTATAGCTGTGTTAGAAGACTTTAAGCAACCTGTAAATATTGTCTCCGATTCAGCTTATGTTGTTCAGGTACTCAATACATAGAAATTGCATTCATTAAATATCTTGTGGATGAACAACTCTATCAGCTGTTTTCTTCTTTACAAAAGGCAGTGCATGATTGCTATTTTCCATTCTATATTAAACACATTCGAGCACACACTAATCTTCCTGGGCCCCTTGTAAGGGCCAATGATCAAGCTGATTTACTAGTTTCCACTGTGCTTTCTAATGCCAAAGATTTTCACTCCCAAACACATGTTAAAGCAGCAGGACTTAAACAAAAATATCACATTACTTAGAGGCAGCAAAGGACATTGTACAACATTCCCTTTGGTGCCAGGTACTAAAACTGCCACATGAAAGGACTCATGCTAACCCATGGGGATTAACCTTCAATATGTTGTGGCAAGTGGATGTAACCCACATACCTTCATTCGGGAAATTTTCATACGTCCATGTTACTACAGACACATTTTCTCATTTTGTATGGGCAACTTGCCAAACAGTTGAGGCAGCTGCTCATATTAAAAGACATTTACTTTCCTGTTTCCCAGGCATGGGCATCCCACAAAATATTAAAACAGACAATGGCCCAGGCTACTGTAGTAAACCTTTACAAGCATTCCTTCAACTATAGCACATTGAGCACAGTACTGGAATACCCTATAATTCTCATGGCCAAGTCATTGTGGAATGGGCAAATTGAACCTTAAAATCTCAATTACAAAAACAAAAGGCAGAGGGGGGGAACCAGAGAATATTCTACTCCAGAATGCAGCCAAGATTGGCTCTTATCACTTCCAATTTTTTGAATTTGTCTAGAGATCAGGTTACAACAGCAGCAGAGCAGCATTTGACAGGACATAAAATAAATCCTCATGAAGGAAAACGTGTGGTGGAAGGACGTCAGAACCAAAACCTGGAAAAAGGTAAAACCATTACATAAGGTCGAGGGTTTTCCTTGTATCTCACCAGAAGAGAATCAGCTTCCTGTCTGGGTACCCACAAGACATCTTAAGCTGTGGCGTTAGCCAGAATCCAAGGAAGAGGAAAAGACCTAAGAACATCCCTGCACCCTCAGTTCATCAGATGGCTCAGATGAACATCTCTGTTGAGCAGATGAAAACCAGTAAAACTCGCCAAGTAACTCCACCGACCTGAGGGCAGATGAAGAGACTAGCTCACATTGCAGAAGAGAACCTGAGGTCTCAGAACAAGCTGCTGACCACCAGTAATCTAATGGTAGCTATGATGGTGGTAATCTCTCTGGCAGTGAGTCTCCCCATTGCTAAGGCAGATGAAAATTACACTTGGGCCTACATTCCATTCCCACCACTGATTAGGTCTGTTATGTGGTTAAAACCCTGGGTAGAGGTTTAGATTAATGATAGTGTTGGGATGCCTGGACCAACAGATAACTGAGGTCCTACTCATCCAGAGGAGGAAGGAATGTTAATGAATGTTTCCATTGGTTATTTCTTTCTTCCCATCTGCCTGGGCCCAACAGCAGGATGTTTAAATTATGATAAACAAACTTGGATGGTTTGTGTCCCTGCACATAATGAATCAAAGGCCTCTACTCATGCAATCAGTAGAAGAACATTTCAATCTTTGGACACTATTAAATACCTTGAGCATGGTTATGTTATGACACATCACCAGATTAATAAATTTAAAACTAATAAGAAACCCTGCCCTGCAGGCCACTAAATGGTCTGTAAATATAGAGGTGCTAACCTGGGAAGATGGTATTGCAAACAGCGCTGCTGTACTGCAAAATAATTCCTATGGAATCACAATTGTTTGGGCCCCTAGGGGACACTTTGCAGTAAATAGTACTGGACAGCACAAAGATTGTTGAGAGAATCCTTTTGCAAACGACTACCAAGATAATGCACCAAAATTATATAGAAGAATAGAAACAAATTACCCTATTAAGTGGGAGGAGAATGGTATGGCTCCTCCAAGCCCAAAAATGGTTGATCCAATTGTAAGTCCATAATATCCAGAATTGTGGATGTTAATGATGGCTCAAACCCCAGTTCAGATTTGGAAAGGAGAATATAAAACAGAGACCCATAGTAAAAAAATTTGATTTGTTGTAGCCATGACCTCTAATCAGATGGTCCCATTGCAGAGTTGTGTTAAACCTCCTTTTATGTTGGCAGTGGGAAAAAATAATTATATCCTGCATGACTGTCAAACCATATCATGCCTCAACTGTCATCTTATTACCTGAATTAATTCTACCTTTAATAAAGATTACAGCGTACAACTGGTTAGGTCCCGAGAAGGAGTTTGGATATCTGTTTCTGTCAGTAGACCTTGGGAGGACTCTCCCTCCATACATATTATCACTGAAGTGCTAAAAGGAATACTTAATAGATCAAAGAGATTCTTATTTAATTTAAAAGCTGTGATCATGGGACTTATAGCTGTCACAGCTACTGCTGCTGCTGCTGGTGTTGCTTTGCACTCTTCTATCAAACTGCGGGATTTGTGGATAGTTAGCAAATACTTCTTCTAAGCTTTGGAATTCCCAAAGTGAAATAGATCAAAAATTGGCAAATTCAATTAATGATTTCCATCAAACAGTAATTTGGATGGGAGATCAGATTATGAGCTTGCAGCATAGAATTCAGAAGCAATGTAATTGGAATACTTCTGGTTTCTGTATTACTCCTAGCTCTTATGATATTACTGAACACAATTGGGACATGATTAGACGTCACCTACAAGGAAAAGAAGAAAATTTAACATTAGATATTGCTAAACTGAAAAAAAAAATTTGAGGCATCTCAGCCTGTTTCCTGGAACTGATAATCTTGCTGGAGCTGCTGATGGTCTTTCTAATTCCAATCCTTTAAAGTGCATTAAAACCATAGGTGCATCAACAATTCCAAATTTTATTTTGGCTTGTGTCTGTTTATGCTCTTTGTTTTTAATCTACAGATGCGGACAGCACATGGGGAGAGAAGCCAGACACTGTGAATGAGCCATTATAGCAAAGGTGGTTATTAAAGAAAAAAGCATTAATAAAGACAAAAACGGAGGACATGTAGGAAAAAGAGTTGCTGGGGTGCCAGGTGAGTTGATCTCACCTGTGTGAGACACCTATGGGAAGCCATTGTGGCATGAGAAAAGTCTCCTTATTGCCTTCATGTCTTTATGCCCCAAGAGCATAAACCTTCTGCATCATTCCACAGGTTGCTCAGGGAGATAAAACTCCTTTGAAGCAGTGGAGCATAATCAAACACCTTGGCTCCTCCTGAAACCCACTCTCACCTGTTTCAGTCCCAATAAATTAACAATCTTAAGTAGTTTAGACACACGCCTTTGCTCAAGGAAATTCACAGAAACAGCCACTGCTGTACTTCATATCGAATGAATCATGAGTTCTCCTTCACTGATTAATCCTTTTCCTCATCCCTTACTCCCCCTCCCATCTGCCCTAAGAGCAAAGAGCTTGTAAATCAATACATTGGGTGAAGGTTGACAGCTCTGGGCCATGAGAAACCCTCCAAAACTCTGGTCCACTAGACCCACAATTTAAACGCTTATTCGGACCCTTTCTAACTCCTCTTATCTCCACCAGACTAGGGGCACCCACGGGGTGGTGTGGAGCTGGTTTACCCCACAGGAAACACTCCTTTTGGAGAATCTGCTAAGGGACATTTCAGAGCCCATTGTGGTCTAAGGGGAAAAACAGAATATCCCGACATAAAAACTAGAAAAAAAGCTATCTGTGAAACTGCTCTGTGATGTCTGGATTCACCTCACAGAGGTAAACCATTCTTTTGATTTAGAAGGTTAGAAATACTCTTTTTGGAGAATCTGCAAAGGGACATTTGGGAGCCCATAGAGGCTTATGGGGCAAAATGGAATATCTGCAGATAAAAACTATAAAGAAACTGTCTGTGAAATTGCTTTTTGATATCTGGATTCATCTCACAGGGTTAAAACTTTCTTTTGATTCACCAGGTTTGAAACGCACTTGTAGAATCTGAGAAGGAACATTAGGGAGACCATTGAGGCTTGTAGGGCAAAACAGAATATCCCCAGGTAAAAACTAGAAAGAAGCTATCTTTGAAACTGCTTTGCAATGTATGCATTCACCTCACTAAGTTAAACCATTCTTTTGATTAAGCAGGTTGGAAACACTCTTTATGTAGAATCTCTGATAAGACATTTGGGTATCATTGAGACCAATGGGGAAAATCTAAACATGTCCAGATAAAAACGAGAAAGAAGCTATCTGTGAAACTGCTTTGTGATGTGTGGATTCATCTCACAGAGTTAAACCTGTCCTTTTTTTTCGGCAGTTTGGAAACACTCTTTTTGTAGTGTTTTCAAAGGGATATTTGGGAGCACATTGAATACTATTGGGAAAAACCAAATATCCCCAGATAAAAAGTAGAAAGAAGGGAATCTGTGAAACTGCTTTGTGATGTGTGGATTCATCTCACAGAGACAAAGCTTTCTATTATTCAGCAGGATGGAAATACTCTTTTTGGAGAATCTGTGGAGGGACATGTGGGAGCTCTTTGAGGCCTATGGGTCAAAACCAAATATCCCCTGATAAAAACTAGAAAGAAGATTTCTCTGAAACTGCTTTCTGATGAGTGGATTCAGCTCACAGAGTTAAATATTTCTTTGGATTCAGCAGGTAGGAAACACTCATTTTAAAGAATCTTCAAAGGGACATTTGGGAGACCTTTAACACATATTGGGAAAAATTGACTATCCCCAGATAAAAACAAAAAAGAAGCTATCTGTGAGTCTGCTTTGTGAGGTGTGAATTCATCTCAGAGATTTAAACCTTTCTTTTGATTCAACAGGTTGGAAACCTGCTTTTTGTAGAATCTGTGAAGGAACATTTGGGAGCCCTTTCAGACCCTTGGGGAAAAACCAAATATCCCTGGAAAAAAAAACTAGAAAGAAGCTCTCTGTGAAACTGCTTTCTGATGTGTGGATTCATCTCACAGAGTTAAACTTTTCTCCTGATTCAGCAGGTTTGAAACACTGTTTTTGTAGAATCTGTCAAGGGACATTTTGTAGCCAATTGGGTCCCATGGAAAAAAACCTTAATATCCCCAGATAAAAACTAGAAAGAAGTTATCTGCAAAGCATTGTGATGAGTGGATTCATCTCACAGAGTTAAAGCATTCTATTGATTCAATGGGTTGGAAATACTATTTTTGGAGAATATGAGAAGGGACATATCGAAGACCTTTGGGGCGTATTGGGAAAAATCGAATATCCCCAGATAAAAACTAGAAAGAAGCTATCCATGAAACTGCTTTGTGATCTCTGGATTCATCTCACAGAGTTAAACCTTTCTCTTGGTTCAGCAGGATAGAAATACTCTTTTTATAGAATCTGCCCAGGGAGACTTCGGAGCCAATTGAGGCATAAGGGGAGAAACAGAATATCCCCATATAAAAATTAGACAGAAGCTATTTCTGAAACTGCTTTGTGATGTGTGGATACATCTCACAAAGTTAAAACTTTCTTTTGATTCAGCAGACAGGAAACATTGTTTTTGCAGAATCTATCAACAGACATTTGGGAACCGATTGAGGTCTATGGGGATAAGCTGAATATCCACAGGTAAAAACTAGAAGGAAGCTATATATGAATCTGCTTTGTGTTGTCTGGATTCATATCACAGAGGTAAACCTTTCTTTTCATTCAGCAGGTTGGAAACACTCTTTTTGGAAAATCATCAAAGGCACATTTCAGAGTCCATTGAGGCCTATTGGGAAAAACCAAGTATTTCCAGCTAAAAACTAGAAAGAAGCTATCAGTGAAACTGGTTTTTGATGGGTGGATTCATCTCACAAAGTTAAACCTTACTTTTGATTCAGCAGGTTGGAAACACTCTTTTTAAATAATCAGCAAAGGGACATTTGGGAGCCAATTGAAGCCTATGGGGAAAACACAAATATCCCGAGATAAAACTAGAATGAACTTATTCATGAAACTGCTTTGTGATGTGTGGATTCATCTCACAAAATAAAATTTTTCTTCTGATTCAGAAGTTTGGAAACACTCTTTTTTAGAGTCTACAAAGGCACATTTTGGAGCCCATTGAGGCCTGTGGGGAAAAATCCAAATATTCCCATATAAAAACTGGAAAGAAACTATCTGATAAACTGCTTTGTGATGTGTGGATTCATCTCACACAGATAAACCTTTCTTTTGAGTCAGCAGGGTGGAAACACTCTTTTTGTAGAATCTGCGAGGGGACATTAGGGAACTCATAGAGGCTTATGGTGAGTAGCCAAATATTCCTCTTTAAAATCTACAAAGAAGTTTCTGTGAAACTGCTTGGTTTTATGTGGCTTCATCTCACAGAGATAAACCTTTTTTTGGTTCAGCAGGTTGGAAACACTCTAATGGGAGAATCTGCAAAGAAATATTTGGGAGCCCATTGAGGCCTAAGGGAAAAAACTACAAAGAAGTTATCTGTGAAACAGCTTCCTGAGGCGTGGATTCCTTTCACAGATTTAAAACTTTCTTTTGATCCAGAAGGTTGGAAACACTCTTTTTGGAGAATCTATGAAGGGACACTTGGGAGCCCATTGAGGCCTATGGGAAAAAACTACCATTTTTTTTTTATTCAGCAGGTTGGACACACTCTTTTCGGAGAATCTGTGATGGGACATTTGGGAGTCCATTGAAGCCTAAGGGGAAAAAATAAATATCCTCAGATAAAGACTAGAAAGAAGCTATGTGTTAAACTGCTTTGTGGACAACTCGGAAGGGACATTTGGGGGCACATTGAATACAATGAAGAAAAACAGAATATCCCTAAATAAAAACTAGAATGAAGCTATCTGTGACCCTGTTTTGTGATGTGTGAATTTACCTGAGTGTTAAACTGTTCTTTTGATCCAGAATTTCAAAACTCTCTTTTTGTAGTATTTGTAAAGCGACATTTGAAACCCCACTGAGGCCTTTGGGAAAAAACTGAATATCCCTAGATGAAAAGTAGAAAGAAGCTATCTGTGAAACTCCTTTGTGATGTGTGGATTCATCTCACAGAATTCAGCCTTTCTTTTGATTCCATAGGTTGGGGACACTCTTTTTGGAGAATCTTTGAAAGGACATTTGGGAGTTCATTGAGACCTATGGGTAAACACAGAATATCTTCAGATAAAAACTAGAAAGAAGCTATCAGTGAAACTGCTTTGTGATGTGTACATTCTTCTCAAAGAGTAAAACCTTTCTTTTCTTTTCATCCAGCAATTTGGAGACACAATCTTTGGAGAATCTGTGAAGGGAATTTTGCAGCCCTTTTAGGCCTATATAGAAAAACCGAATATTTCCAGATACAAACTATGAAGAAGGTGTCTGTGAAACTACTTTGTGATGTGTGGATTCATCTCTCAGAGTTAAACCTTTGTTTTGATTTAGCGTTTTGGAAACACTGTCTTTAATGAATCTGCTAAGGGACATTTTGGAGCCCAGTGAGGCCTATGGGGAAAAAATATCCCCAGATAAACACTTGAAAGAAGTTATCTGTGGAACTGCCTTGTGATGTGTGGATTCATCTCACAGAGGTAAACATTTCTTTTGATTCAGCAGGTTGTGGCCACTTTTTTGGGGAAATCTGCAAAGGGACATATGGGAGCCCATTGAGGCCTATGGGAAAAATCCAATTAACCCCCAAAAAACTAGAAAGAACCAATCTGTGAAACTGCTTCGTGGGCTGTGGATTCATCTCACAGAGTTAAAACTTCTTTTTGATTCAGCAGGTTGGAAACACTCTTCTGGGAGAATTTGTGAAGGGACTTCTGGCAGCTTATTGAGGCCTATGGAAACAAACCAAATATCCCCAGATAAAAATTAGAAAGAACCTATCTGTTAAACTGCTTTGTGACGTCTGGATTCACCTCATAAGGTTAAACTTTTGTTTTGATTCAGGAGCTTGGAAACTCTGTTTTTAAAGAAACTGCCAAGGGACATTTGTGAGCTCATTGAGGCTTATGTGGAAAAACAGAATATCCCCAAATAAAAACTAGAAAAAAGCTATCTGGGAAACTTCTTTATGATGTGTGGATTCATCTCACAGAGTTAAACCTTTCTTTTAATTCAGCAGATTTGAAACACTCTTTTGAAGGATATGTGAAGTTACATTTGGGGGAGCACTGAAGACTATGGGAAAAAACTTTATATCCCCATATAAAAACCAGAAATTATCTGTATATGAAACTTCTTTGTGATCTGTGGATTTATCCCACAGTGTTAAACTCTTCTTTTGGTTCAGCGGGTAGGAAACCATTTATTTGAGAATCTGTTAATGGACATTTGGGAGCACATTAAGGCCTATGTGGTAATACAGAATGTCCCCAGATAAAAAGTAGAAAGAAGCTGTCTGTGAAATGGCTTTGTGATGTGTGGATTCATCTCAGAGAGTTAATACTTTCTTTGATTCAGCAGATTGGAAACACTCTTTTTGTAGAATCTGTGAAGGGACATTTGAGAGCCCATTAAAGTCTATGGGGAAAAGCTGAATACCCCTAAATAAATACGAGAAAGAAGCTATCAGTGAAACTGCTTTCTGATGTGTGGATTCATCTCTCAAAGTTAAATCTTTTTTTTTTTTTTTTTGATTCAGCAAGTTGGAAACACTCTTTTTGGAGAATCTGTGAAGGGATATTTGGAAGCCCATTGAGCCCATTGAGACTATGCGGAAACACTGAATATCCTCAGATCAAAACGAGAAGGAAGCTATCTGTGAAACTGCCTTGTGATGTGTGAATTCATCTCACAGAGTTAAACCTTTCTTTTGATTCAGCAGGTTGGAAACACTCTCTTTGGAGAATCGTCAAAGGGACATTTGGCAGCCCTCTAGTGCCTATTTTAAAAAACTGAATATCCTCAGATAAAAACTCGAAGGAAGCTATATGTGAAAGTGACTTTTGATGTGTGGATTCATCTCACAGATTTAAACTTTCTCTTCATCCAGTAGGTTGGAAAAAGATCTTTATGTAGAATCTTCATAGGGACGTTTTGGACACCAATTTGGCCTATGTGGAAAAACACAATAACCCCAGATAGAAACTAGAAAGATGCTATGTATGAAACTGCTTGGTGTTGTGTGTATTCATCTGACAGATTTCAAACTTTCTTTTGATCCAGCAGGTTGAAAACACTCTTTTTTTGAGAATCTGTGAGGAAACATATGGGATACCTTTGAGGCCTATGAGGAAAAACTGAATATCCCCAGATAAAAACTAGAAAGAAGCTATCTGTGAAAGTGCTTTGTGATGTATGGCTTCATCACGCAGAGTTAAGCCTTTCTTTTGATTAGGCAGGTTGGCAATTTTTTTTAACATAATCTGTGAAAAGACATTTGGGAGCCCATTGAGGCCTATGTGGAAACACTGAATATCCCGAGATAAAAACTAGAAAGAACATATCTGTGAAACTGCTTTGTGACGTGTGAATTCATCTCACAGAAATAATACCTCCTTTTGATTCACCAGGTTGGAAACACTCTAATTGCAGTATCAGTGAAATGTTATTTGGAAGCCCATTGAGACCTATGGTAAAAAACAGAATATTCTCACATAAAAACGAGAAGGAAACTATCTCTGAAACTGCTTTTTGATGTGTGGGTTCATCTGACAGAATTTAGCTTATCATTTCATCCAGCCGGTTGGAAACAATCTTTATGTAGAATCTGCAAAGGGACATTTAGGAGCCCATTGAGGCCTATAGATGAAAACAGAATATCCCCAGATGAAAACTAGAAGGAAGCTATCTGTGAAATTGTTTTGTATTGTATGGATTCATCTCATGGACTTAAACCTTTCTTTTGGTCCAGGAGGTTGAAGACACTCCTTTTGGAGAATCTATGAAGAAACATTTGGGAGCCCTTTGAGGCCTATGAGGAAAAACAAAATATCCCCAGATAAAAACTGGAAAGAAGCAATCTGGGAAACTTCTTTGTGATGTGTGGATTCATCTCACAGAGTTAAACTTTTCTTTTGATTCAGGAGGTGGGAAACACTCCTTTTGGAGAATCTGTGAATGGACTTTGAGAGCCCATTGAGGCCTATGAGAATAAAGTGAAAACCCCAGGATAAAAACTACAAAGGACCTATCTGTGAAACTGCTTTGTGAGGTGTGAATTCTCAAAGAGTTAAACCTCTGTTTTGATTCAGCATATTGGAAATACTGTTTTTAAAGAACCTGCAAAGAAATATTTGGGAGCTCATTGAGGCCTATATGGAAAAACTGAATATACCCATATGAAAACTAGAAAGAGCTACTTGTGAAACTGTTTTGTGATGTGTAGATTCATCTCACAGACTTAAAACTATCTTTTGATTAAGCAGGTTGGAAACACTCTTTTTGTAGAATATGCAAAGGGACATTGAGGACTACGAGGAAAAACTGAATATCCTCATATAAAAACTAAAAATAATCTTTCAGTGATATTGCTTTGTGATGCGTGGATTCATCTCACAGAGTTAAGCATTTCTTTAGATTCAGCAGGTTGTAAACAGTCTTCTTGGGGAATCCTCAAAGGGACATTTGGAATCCCATTGAGGCCTATCTGGAAAAACTGAATATCCCTAGATAAAAACTAGGGAGAAGCTAGAACTCGTCACTGCTATATATCATGTCAAAAGACTCATGAGTTCTCCTTCACTCATAAATCCTTTGTCTCATCCCTTCCTAACCCTCCCATCTGCTCTAAGAAGAGAGAGCTTGTAAAACAATAAATTGGGTGGAGTCCAAGAGCTCTGGGCTGTGAGCAAGCCACTGATGCTCTGGTCTCCTGTACCTGCCTTTTCAATGCTTATTTTTTCTGTTTCTAATCCAAACAGATTTTACAAAAAGGGTGTTTCCAAGCTACTGAATGAAAAGAAAATTTAACACTGTGAGATGAATCCACATATCCCAAAGCAGTTCCACAGATAACTTTATTCTAATTTTTATCTGGGGATATTCAGTTTTTCTTCTAAGGTCTCTATGGCACCAAAATATCCCTATGCAGATCCTCCAAAAAGAGTGTTTTCAACCTGCTGAATCAAAAGAAAGGTTTAACTTTGTCAGATGAATCCACACATCACAAAGCAGTTTCACAGAAATCTTCTTTCTAGTTTCTATCTGGGGATATTCTGCTTTTCCCCATAGGCAACAATGTACTCCCTAATGTCCTTTCACAGGTTCTCCAAAAAGAGTGTTTCCAACCTGCTGAATCAAAGAAAGATTTAACTCCATGAAATAAAACCACACATGAAAAAGAAGTTTCACAGCTAGCTTCTTTCTTTATTGGGGGATATTTGCTTTCTCTCTGTAGACCTCAAAGGGCCCTCAAATGTTTGTTCACAGATTCTAAAAAGAGAGTGTTTCCAACCTGCTGAATCAAAAGAAAAATGTAGCTCCATGAAGTGAATTCACACATCACAAAGCAGTTTCAAAAATAGCTTCTTTCTGTTTTTTATCTTTGGACATTTGGTTTTTCCCCATAGGCCTCAATGGGTGCACAATTTTTTTTTCACAGATATCCAGAAATAGTGCTTTCAACCTGCTGAATCAGTAGAAACGTTTACCTTTGTGAGATGAATCTACACATCACAAAGCGTTTTCACAGAAAGCTTCTTTCTAGATTTATCTGGGGATATTCAGTTTTTCCCCATAGGTTTCAGTGGGGTCCCAAAAGTACCATGGCAGATTCTACAAAAAGAGTTTCCAGCCTGCTGGTTAAAACAAAGGTTTAACTATGTGAGATGAATCAACATATCACAAAGCAGTTTCACAGGTATCTTTATTCTAGTTTTTATCTGGGGATATTCTGTTTTTCCCCATTAGCCTCAATGGGCTCCCAAAAGTCCCTTCACAGATTTTCCAAGAATAGTGTTTCCAACCTGCTGAGTCAACTAAGAAATTTAACTATGAGATAGGAATGCAGACATCACAAAGCAGTTTCACACATTGCTTCTTTATGGTATTTATTCATGTATATTCATTTTTCCCCCGTGGTGATCAATGGGCTGCAAAATGTTCCTTTACACATTCTCCAAAAAAAAGTGTTTTCCTGCTGGGGAAGAAGAAAGATTTAACTCTGTGAGATTAATGCACATATCAAGAAGCAGTTCAACAGATAGCTTTTTTCTAGTTTTTATCTGGGGATATTCAGTTTTTCTCCTTAGGCCTCAATGGGTTCTGAACTGTTCCTTTTCAGATTCTCCAAAAAGAGATTTTACAACCTGCTGAATCAAAAGAAATGTTTAACTCTGTGAGATGAATCCTCACATCACAAAACAGTTTGACATATAGCTTCTATCTAGTTTTTACCTTGGGATAATTGATTTTTCTTCATAAGCCTCAAAGGGTTCCCAAAAGTCTCTTTGCAGATTCTTGAAAAATAGTGTTTGCAACCTGAGGAATAAAAGCTAGGATTAACTCTGTGAGTTGAATCCACACATCAGAAGAACTTACACAGGCAGCCTCTTTCTACCTTTTATCTTGGGATATTCTTTTTTTTCCCCGTTGGCCTCAAAAAGCTGCAAATGTCCCTTCACCGATTCTACAAAAAGTGTGTTTCCAACCTGCTGAATCAAAAGAAATGTTTACCTCTGAGAGATGAGTTCACACATCACAATGATATTTCACTGATAGCTTCTTTCTAGTTTTTATCTTGGGATAATACGTTTTTCCAAATGTCCTTTCATTGATACTCCAAAAAGAGTGTTTACAATCTTCCAAATCAAAAGAAAGATTCACATCTGTGAAATAAATCCACACATCACAAAGCAGTTTCACAGATAGATTCTTTGTAGGTTTTATCTGTGGATATTCCATTTTTATGCATAAGCCTCAATGGGCTTCCAAATATCCCTCTGCAGATTCTACAAAAAGTATGTTTCCAACCTGCTGAATCAGAAGAAAAATTTAACTCTGTGACATGAATCCACACATCACAAAGCAGTTTCACAGATAGCTTCCTTTTAGTTTTAATCTGGGGATATTCAGTTTTTCTCCTAGGCTTCCATGGGCTTCCAAATGTCCCTTTACAGATTCTATAAGAAGAGTGCTTCCACTCTTCTATAAGAAGAGTGATTCCTTCTGAATCAAAGGAAAGTTTTAACCCTATGAGATTCATCCACACCTCCAAAATCAGTCTCACAGATAGCTTCATTCTAGTTTTTTAAAGGGATATTCACTTTTTCCCTTTTGACTTCAATGGAACCCATATATCCCTTTGCAGATTTTCGAATAAGAGTGTTTACAACCTACTGAATCAAAAGAAAACTTTAGCTCTGTGAGATGTATCCACACATAACAGAGCAGTTTCACAGATAGCTTCTTCTAATTTTTATATTGGGATATTTAGTTTTTCCCCATAAGCTCCAAAGTGCTCTCAAATGTCTCTTCTCAGATTCTCCAAAAAGAGTGTTTCCAACCTACTGAATCAAAAATAAGATTTAATTCTGTGAGATGAATCTAAACAACACTAGGCCATTTCACAGATATCTTGTTTCTACTTTTTATCTTGGGATAATCTGCTTTCCCAGACAGGCGACAATGGACTTTCAAATGTCCTTTCACAGATTCTCCAAAAAGAGCGTTTCCAACCTGGTGAACCCAATGAAAGAATTAAATCTTTGAGATAAATCCCCACAACAAAAATCAGTTCTACAGTTAGTTTCTTTCTAATTTTTATCTGGGGATGTTCAGTTTCTCCCCATATGCATCAGTGGGCCTTAAAACGTCCATTAGTAGATTAAACAAATAGAGTGTTTTCAACCTGCTGAATAAGAAGAAAAATTTACCTCTGTGAGATGAATCCATACATCATAAAGCAGTTTCACAAATAGCTTCTTTCTAGTTTTTATCTGGGTATATTTGATTTTTCTCCCTGGCCTCATTGGGCTCCGAAAAGTCCCCTCACAGATTCTACAGGAAGAGTGTTTTCAACCTGCTGTATCAATAGAAACGTTTACCTTTGGGAAACGAATCCACACATCACAAAGCAGTTTCATAGAAAGCTTCTTTCTAGTTTTTATATGGAGATATTTGATTTTTTTCCCATTAGCTTCAATGGGCTCCCAAATGTCTCTTTGCTGATTTTCAAGAAAGAATGTTTCCAAAGTGCTGTATCAAAAGAAAGGTTTAACTCTGTGAGATGAATCCACACAACACAAAGCAATTTCTCAGATAGCTTCTTTGACTAGTTTTTATCTGCGGATATTTGGTTTTTACTTATAATGCACAAATGGCTTCAAATGTCCCTTCAAAGTTCCTCCAAAAAGAGTGTTTCCAACATGCTGAATCAAAAGAAAAGCTTAATTTTTGAGTTGAATCCACACATAACAAAGCAGTTTCACAGATAGCTTCTCTCCAGGTTTTACCTCGGGATATTCGGTTTTTCTTCACTAGCTTCATGGGCTCCCAACTGTGCCTTCGCAGAAGCTCCACAAATAGTGTTTCTAACCTGCTGAAGCAACTGAAAAATTTAACTCTGGGATAGGAATGCACACATCACAAAGTAGTTTCACATCTTGCTTCTTCCTAGCTTTTATTTGGGGATATTCGGTTTTTCACCATAGTGATCTATGGGCTGCAAAATGTCGCCTTGCATATTCTCCAAGAAGAGTGTTTCCAATCTGCTGGATTAAAAGAAAGGTTTAACTCTGTGAGATTAATCCACACATCAAAAATCAGTTTCATAGATAGCTTATTTCTAGTTTTTCTCTGGAGATATTCGTTTTTTTCCCATAGGCCTCAAGTGGTCCCAAATGTCCCATCACAGATCCTACAAAAAGAAAGTCTCCAACCTGCTGAATTAAAAGAAAGGTTTAACTCTGTAACATTCATCCACACACACAAAGTGATTTCACAGATAAAGAAGTCTTTCTAGTTTTTGTCTGGAAATATTCACTTTTCCCCATAGGCCTCAGTGGGCTCCCAACGGTCTATTCTCAGATTCCCTAAAAAGAGTGTTTCCAACAAGATGCATAAAGGAAACGTTTAACTCTCTGACATGAATCCACACAAAACAATGCAGTTTCACAGATAGGTTATTTGTAGTTTTTATCTGGGAATATTCTGTTTTTACTTATAGGCCTCAAAGGGCTATAAATTGTTCCTTCACAGATTCTCCAAAATGTGTGTTTCAAACCTGTTGGACCAAAAAAAGTTTTAACCTTGTGAGATGAATCCACACAACACAGACAAGTTTCACAGATATCTTCTTCCTGTTTTTATCTGTGGATATTTTGTTTTTACATATAGGTCTCAATGCAGTTCAAAGTGTTCCTTCACAGGTTCTCTAAAAAGAGTGCTCCAAACTGCTGGATGAAAAAACAGGTTTAACTCAGTGAGATGAATCAACACAACACAAAGCAGTTTCACAGATAGCTTCTTTTTTGTTTTTATCTGGGGATATTCAGTTCTTTGCCATAGGCTTCAAACAGTCCCCAAATGTTCCTTCACAGACTCTACATAAAGACTGTTTCCAAGATGCCGAATGAAAAGGAAGGTTTATCTCTGTGAGGTGAATCCACACATCCCAAAGCAGTTTCACAGATAACTTCATTCTAGTTTTTATCTGGGGACATTCTGTTTCTCCTTATAGACCTCAAAGTGTTCCCAAATGTTACTTTGCATATTCTCCAAAAAGAGTGTTTCCAACCTATGAAACCAAATGAAAGGTTTACCTCTTTGAGATGAATCAACACATCATAAAGCAGTTTCACACATAGCTTCCTTCTGGCTTTTACCTGGGAATATTACGTTTTTTCCCCCACAGGCTTTAATATGCTTCCAAATGTCCCTTTCCAGATCTCCATTCAGAGGGTTTCCAAAATGCTGAATCAAAGGAAAGGTTTAAATCTGTGTGATGAATCCACCCACAAGAAAGCAGTTTCACAGTTAGCTTCCTTATAATTTTTACATAGGGATATTGTTTTTCTCCATAGGCCTCAAAGGGTGCATTATTTTTTTTTGCTGATTGTTCAAAAACAGTGTTTCCAGCAGGCTGAATCCAAAAAAAAAGTTTAGCCCTGTGAGATGAGTCCACACATTACAAAGCAGTTTTCACAGATAGCTTCTTTCTAGTTTTTATCTGTGGATATTCAGTTTTTCCCCATAGACTTCAATGGGCTGGCAAATGTCCCTTTGCACATTCTCCAAAAAAAGTGTTTCCAACCTGTTGAATCCATTGAAATGCTTAAGTCTGTGAAATGAATTCACACTCACAAAGCAGTTTCACAGATAACTTCTTTGTAGGATTTATCTAATGATATTAGCTTTTTTTCCATGGACAAAAATGGGCTCCAAAATCTCCTTTGAAGATTTTCCAGCAAGAGTGTTTCCTATCTGCTGAATCAAAAGAAAGGTTTAACTATGTGAAATAAACCCACACAAATCAAAGCAGGTTCACATATACCTTCTTTCCCATTTTTATCTGGGGATATTCAGTTTTCCCCCTAGGGCTTTATAGGGTCATAAATGTTTCTTTGAGGATACTATAAAAAGAGTGTTTCCAACCTGCTGAGTCAATGGAAAGGTTTATTTCCATGAGAAGAATCCACACAACACAAAGCAGTATCACAGATACCTTCTTTCTAGTTTTTATCTGGTGATATTCAGTTTTACCCCATGGGCTCCGAAATGTCTCTTCACACATTCTACAAGAAGAGTATTCTCATCATACTGAATCAAAAGAAAGATTAAACTCTTTTAGATGAATCCATACATCACAACGCAGTTTTATGGAAAGTTTCTTTCTAGATTTTATTATTATTATTATACTTTAAGTTCTAGGGTACATGTTCACAACGTGCAAGTTGGTTACATATGTATACGTGTGCCATATTGTTGTGCTGCACCCATTAACTCATCATTTATATTAGGTATATCTCCTAGTGATATCCCTCCCCCTTCACCCAACCCCACAACCGGTCCCAGTGTGTGATGCTCCCTTCCCTGCAACCAAGCATTCTCATTGTTCAATCCCCACCTATGAGTGAGAATTTGCAGTGTTTGGTTTTTTGTCCTTGTGATAGTTTGCGGAGAATGATGGTTTCCAGCTTCATCCATGTCCCTACAAAGGACATGAACTCATCCTGTTTTGTGGCTGCATAGTATTCCATGGTGTATATGTGCCACATTTTCTTAACCCAGTCTATCATTGATGGACATTTGGGTTGGTTCCAAGTCTTTGCTATTGTGAATAGTGCTGCAATAAACATACGTGTGCATGTGTCTTTATAGCAGCATGATTTATAATCCTTTGGGCATACACCCAGTAATGGGATGGCTGGGTCAAATGGTTTTCCTAGTTCTAGATCCTTGTGGAATTGTCACACTGTCTTCCACAGATGTTGAACTACTTTACAATCCCACCAACATCGTAAAAGTGTTCCTATTTCTCCACATCCTCTCCAGCACCTGTTGTTTCCTGACTTTTTAGTGATCGCCATTCTAACTAGTATGAGATGCTATCTCATTGTGGCTTTGATGTGCGCTTCTCTGACGGCCAGTGATGATGAGCATTTTCTCATGTCTGTTGTATGTAAAAATGTCTTCCATTGAGAAGTGTCTGTTCATATCCTTTGCCCACTTTTTGATGGGGTTGTTTGTTTTTTCTTGTAAATTTGTTTGAGTTCATTGTAGATTCTGGATATTAGCCATTTGTCAGAGGAGTAGATGGCAAAAATTTTCTCCAATTCTGTAGGTTGCCTGTTCAGTCTGATGGTAGTTTCTTTTGCTGTGCAGAAGCTCTTTAGTTTAATTAGATCCCTTTTCTCAATGTTGGCTTTTGTTACCATTGTTTTTGGTGTTTTAGGCATGAAGTCCTTGCCGTTGCCTATGTTCTGAATGGTATTGCCTAGATTTTCTTCTAGGGTTTTTATGGTTTTAAGCATAACATTTAAGTCTTTAATCCATCTTGAATTAATTTTTGTATAAGGTGTAAGCAAGGGATCCAGTTTCAGCTTTCTACATATGGCTAGCCAGTTTTCCCAGCACCATTTATTGAATAGGGAATCCTTCCCCATTTCTTAGTTTTGTCAGTTTTGTCAAAGATCAGATGGTTGTAGATGTGTGGCATTATTTCTGAGAGCTCTGTTTTGTTCCTTTGGTCTATATCTCTGTTTTGGTACCAGTACCATGCTGTTTTTTTTTAGTTACTGTAGCTTTGTAGTATAGTTTGAAGTCAGGTAGCATGATGTTTCCAGCTTGGTTCTTTTGGCTTAGGATTGACTTGGCAATGAGGGCTCTTTTTTGGTTCTATATGAACTTTAAAGTAGTTTTTTCCATTTCTGTGAAGAAAGGTATTGGTGGCTTGATGTGGCTGGCTTTGAATCCATAAATTACCTTGGGCAGTATGGCCATTTTCACGATATTGATTCTTCCTATCCATGAGCATGGAATGTTCTTCTATTTGCTTGTGTCTTCTTTTATTTCATTGAGCAGTGGGTTGTAGCTCTCCTTGAAGAGGTCCTTCACGTCCTTTGTAAGTTGGATTCCTAGGTATTTTATTCTCTTTGAAGCAATTGTGAATGGGAGTTCACTCATGATTTGGCTCTCTGTGTGTCTGTTATTGGTGTATAAGAATGCTTGTGATTTTTACACATTGATTTTGTGTCTTGAGTTTTCCTGAGGTTGCTTGTCAAATTAAGGAGGTTTTGGGCTGACACTTTGGAGTTTTCTAGATATACAATCATGTCATCTGCAAACGGGGACAATTTGACTTCCTCTTTCTTAATTGAATACCTTTTATTTCTTTCTCCTGCCATATTGCCGTGGCCAGAACTTCCAACACTATATTGAATATGAGTGGTGAGAGAGGGCATCCCTCTGTTGTGCCAGTTTTCAAAGGGAATGCTTCTAGTTTTTGTCCATTCAGTATGATATTGGCTGTGGCTTTGTCATAAAAGAGCAACTCCAGGACACACAACTGTGAGATTCATCAAAGTTGAAATGAAGGTAAAAATGTTAAGGGCAGCCAGAGAGAAAGGTCAGGTTACCCACAAATGGAAGCCCATCAGACTAACAGCTGTTCTCTCAGCAGAAATTCTAAAAGCCAGAAGAGAGTAGGTGCCAATATTCAACATTATTAAAGAAAAGAATTTTCAACCCAGAATTTCATATCCAACCAAAATAAGCTCCTAAGAGAAGGAGAAATAAAATCCTTTACAGACAAGCAAACACTGAGACTTTTTGTCACCACCAGGCCTGCCCTACAAGAGCTCCTGATGGAAGCACTAAACATGGAAAGGAAGAACTGATACCAACCACTGCAAAAACATGCCAAATTGTAAAGACCATTGATGCTAGGAAGAAACTGCATGAACTAATGAGCAAAATAACCAGCTAACATCATAATGACAGGATCAAGTTCACACAAAACAATATTAACCTTAAATGTAAATGGGGTAAATCCTCCAATTAAAAGACACAGACTGGCAAATTGGATAAAGAGTCAAGACCCATCAGTGTGCTGTATTCAGGATTCCCATCTCACATGCAGAGACACACATAGGCTCAAAATAAAGGGATGGAGGAAGATCTATCAAGCAAATGGAAAACAAAAAAAAAGGCAGGGGTTGCAATCCTGGTCTCAGATAAAACAGACTTTAAACCAACAAAGATCAAAAGACACAAAGAAGGCCATCACATAATGGTAAAGGGATCAATTCAACAGGAAGTGCTAACTATTCTAAATATATATGCACACAATACAGGGGCACCCAGATTCATAAAGCAAGTCCTTAGAGGCCTACAAAGAGACTTAGACTCCCACACATTAATAATGGGAGACTTTAACACCCCACTATCAACATCAGACAGATCAAGGAGACAGAAAGTTAACAAGGATATCCAGGAATTGAACTCTGCTCTGCACCAAGTGGACCTAATAGACATCTACAGAACTCTCCACCCCAAATCAACAGAATATACATTTTTTCAGCACCACATCACTCTTATTCCAAAATTGACCACATAGTTGGAAGTAAAGCACTCCTTAGCAAATGTAAAGGAACAGAAATTATAACAAACTGTCTCTCAGACCACAGTGCAATCAAACTAGAGCTCAGGATTAAGAAACTCACTCAAAACTGCTTAACTACATGGAAACTGAACAACCTGCTCCTGAATGACTACTGGGCACATAACGAAATGAAGGCAGAAATAAATATGTTCTTTGAAACCAATGAGAACAAAAACAAAACATACCAGAATCTCTGGGACACATTTAAAGCAGATTGTAGAGGGAAATTTGTAGCACTAAATGCCCACAAGAGAAAGCAGGAAAGATCCAAAATTGACACCCTAACATCACAATTAAAAGAAATAGAAAATCAGGAGCAAACACATTCAAAAGCTAGCAGAAGACAAGAAATAACTAAAATCACAGCAGAACTGAAGGAGATAGACGTACAAAAAAACCCTTCAAAAAAGTCAATGAATCCCGGAGCTGGTTCTTTGAAAAGATCAACAAAATTGATAGACCACTAGCAAGACTAATGAAGAAGAAAAGAGAGAAGAATCAAATAGATGCAATAAAAATGATAAAGGGGATATCACCACTGATCCCACAGAAATAGAAACTACCATCAGAGAATAGTATAAACAACTCTACACAAATCAACACTAAAATCTAGAAGAAATGGATAAATTCCTATACATATACACCCTCCCAAGACTAAACCAGGAAGAAGTTGAATCTCTGAATAGACCAATAACAGGCTCTGAAATTGAGGCAATAATTAATAACTTACCAACCAAAAAAGTCCAAGACCAAATGGATTCACAGCCGAATTCTACCAGAGGTACAAGGAGAAGATGGTACCATTCCTTCTGAAACTATTCTAATCAATAGAAAAAGAGGGAATGTTCCCTAACTCATTATCTGAGGCCAGCATCATCCTGATACCAAAGCCTGACAGAGACACAACAAAAAAAGAGTATTTTAGACCAATATCTCTGATGAACATCGATGCAAAAATCCTCAATAAAATACTGGCAAACCGAATCCAGCAGCACATCAAAAAGCTTATCCACCATGATCAAGTGGGCTTCATCCCTGGTATGCAAGGGTGGTTCAACATAAGCAAATCAATAAATATAATCCAGTATATCAACAGAAACAATGACAAAAACTGCATGATTAACTCAATCGATGCAGAAAAGGCCTACAACAAAATTCAACAGCACTTCATGTTAAAAACTCTCAATAAATTGGGTATCGATGGGATGCTTCTTTCTAGTTTTTTAATGGAAATATTCAGGTTTTCCCCACGGTCCTCAAGGGGCTCCTAAATATCACTTCACAGATATTTAAAAAGAGTGTTTCCAACCTGCTGAATAGAAAGTGACGTTAAACTCTGTGAGGTGAATCAACACATCATGAATGAGTTTCACCGATAGATTCCTTCTCGTTTTTATCTGGGATTGTTAGGTTTTCCCTTAAAGGTCTCAATGGGCACCCTAACATCCCTTTTCAAATTCTCCAAAATGAGTGTTTCCAACCTACTGAATCAAAAGAAATGTTTGACTCCGTGGATGAATCCACACATTGCAAAGCAGTTTCACAGATAATTTCTTTCTGTTTTTTTTTTCTGGGTATATTCTCCTTTTCCCCATAGGCCTCAACAAGCTCTCAAATGTCCCTTTGCAACTTCTGAAAAAAAGGTGTTTCCAAGCTGCTAAATTAAAAGAAAGGTTTAATTCTGTGGTATGAATCCACACATCACAAAGCAGTTTCACAAATATATTCTTTCTAGTTTTTTTCTTGGTATATTCTCTTTTTCCCCATAGTCCTCATTGGGCTCCCAAATGTCTCCTCGCAGATTCTACAAAAAGAGTATTTCAAATCTGCTGAATTAAAAGAAAGGCTTAAGTCTGTGGCATGAATCAACACATCACAAAGCAGTTTCACTGATAGTTTCTTTCTAGTTTGTATCTGGGGATATTTCATTATTGCCCATAGGCCTCAATGTGCTCCCAAGTGTCCCTGCACAGATTCTCCAAAAAGAGTATTTCTAACCTGCTGAATGAAAAGAAAGGCTTAACTCTGTGAGATGAATCCACACATCACAAAACAGTTTCACTGCTAGCTTCCTTCTAGTTTTTATTTTGGGATATTTCAGTTTTTTCCCTTAAACTTCAATGGGATCCTGAATGTCCCTTCACCTATTCTCCAAAAACAGTGTTTCTGGCCTGATTAATAAAAAGAAAGGTTTAACTCTGTGGGATGAAGCCACACTTCACAAGGCAGTTTCACAGATAGATTATTTATAGTTTTTATCTGGGGATATTCTGTTTTTCCCCATAGGCCTCATGCGCTCCCAAATGTCCATTCGCAGATCCTCCTTAAAGAGTGTTTCCAACTTGCTTAATCAAAAGAAAGTTTTAACTTTGTGAGGTGAATCTACAAATCACAAAGCAGCTTCATGCATAACTTCTTTCTAGTTATTATCTGGGTATATTCTTTTTTGTTTATAGACCTCAATGGACTACAGACAGTCCCTTCACAAATAATCACAAAGGGTGTTTCCAACCTGCTGAATTAAAAGAAATTTCTAATGCTGTGAGTCGAATTCACACATCACAAAGCAGTTTCACAAATAGCTTCTTCATAGTTTTTATCTGTGGTTAATCTGTTTTTTCATATAGGCCTCAAAGGACTCCAAAATGTCCCTTCATGGATTCTCCAAAAAGAGTGTTTCCAACCTGCTAAAACAAAAGAAATGTTTAATGCCATGAGATGAATCCACAAATCACAAAGCAGTTTTTCAGATAGCTTCTTTTTAGTATTTATCTGAGGATAATCTGTTTTTCCAAATAGGCCTCAAAAGGCTCCCAAATGTCTCTTCACAGATTCTACAAAAAGAGTGTTTTCACCAGATGAATCAAAAAAATATTTAATTATATGAGATAAATCCACACATCACAAAGTGGTTTCACAGATAGCTTCTTCCTAGTTTTCATCTTGGGATATTCTGTTTTTCCCCGTAGTCCTCAGTAAGCTCCCAAATGTCCCTTGACAGCTTTTACAAAAGTAGTGTTTCCAACCTGCTGAATCAATAGAAAGGTTTAACTCTTTGAGATGAATCCATATATCACAAAGCAATTTCATGGATAACTTCTTCCTGGTTTTTGTCCGGGGATATTCAATTTGTTCCTATAGGCCCCAATGAGCTCCAAAATGTCCCCTCACAGATTCTCCAAAAATAGTGATTCAAGCCTTCTGAATCAAGAGAAAGATTTAGCTCTGTGAGGTGAATCCACCTATCCAAATCAGTTTAACAGATAGCTTCTTTCTAGTTTTTATCTATAGATATTTGGATTTTTCCTCAGGCCACTAAGGGCTCACAAATATCCCTTTGAAGATTCTACAAAAAGAGTGTTTCCAACCTGCTGAGTCAAAAAAAAAAAAAAAGGTCCCTATCTTTGAGATGAATCCACATGTTACAAAGCAGTTTCACAGGTAGCTCCTTTTTAGTTTTTATCTAGGGATATTCAGTTTTTCCCTGTAGACCTCAATGGGCTCCAAAATATTCCTTTGTACTTTCTCCATAAAGAGTGTCTCCAACCTGCTTAATCAATACAAATATTTAAGACTGTGAGATGAATCCAGACATAACAAATAAGTTTCACAAATAGATTCTTTCTAGTGTTTATCCGGGTATATTCCTTTTTTCCCTTAGGCCTCATTGGGCTTTCAAATGTCCCTTGACAGATTATGCAGAAAGAGTGTTTCCAACCTGCTGAATATAAAGAAAGGTTTAACTTTGGGAGATGAATACACATATCAAAAGCATTTTCTTTGATAGCTTCTTTCTAGTTTTCATCTGGTGATATTCTGTTTTTCCCCATAGGTCTCAATGAGCTCACCAATATCCCTTTGCAAATTCTCCAAAGAGAGTGTCTGCAACCTGCTGAGTCAGAAGAAAATTTTAACTCTGTGAGATGAATTCACACATCACAAAGCAGTTTCACATGTAGCATCTTCCTAGTTTTTATCTGAGGATACTTGGTTTCTCACCTTGGCCCCAATGGGCTCCTAAATATCCCTTTGCATATTCTACAAAGAGATTGCTTCCAACATGCTGAATCAAAGACCGTTTTACCTCTATGATATGAATCCACACATCACAAAACTGTTTCACGGATAGCTTCCTCCTAGTTTTTATCTGGGGATATTTAATTTTTCCCCATTGGCCTCAAAGGGCTCACAAATATTCCATGGCAGATTCTACAAAAAGGGTGGTTCTAAGTGGCTGAATCAAAAGAAGGCTTTACCTGTAAGAGATGAGTCCACACATCACAAAGCAATTTCACAGATTGCTTCTTTCTAGTTTTTACGTTGGGATAGTTGTTTTTACCCATAGGCCTCAAAGGTCTCACAAATGATCTTTCACTGATACTCCAAAAAGAGTGTTTCCTCCCTGCTGAATCCAAAGAAAGTTTTAACTCTTTGAGATGAATCCACATTTACAAAGCAGTTTCACAGACAGCTTCTTTCTAGCTTTTATCTGGAGGTGTTCATTTTTTCCCCATAGACCTCAATGGTTTCCCAAATGTCCCTTCACAGAGTTTCCAAAAAGAGAGTTTCCAACCTGTTGAATCAAAAGAAAGTTTTAACTCTCTGGCATGAATCCACACATTACAAAGCAGTTTCACAGGTACCTTTTGCCTGGTTTTTATGTGGGGATATTCAATTTCTTCCCATAGGCTTAAATAAACTCCCAAATGTCCCTTTGCAGATTCTACAAAAAGAGTCTTTCCATTCCACTGAATAAAAAGAAAGCTTTACCACTCTGAGATGAATCCACACAACACAAAGCAGTTTCATGGATAATTTCTTCAAAGTTTTTATCTGGGGGTATTCAGTTTTTTCTTTTAGGCCTCAATAGGCTCTTAAATGTCCCTTTGGAGAGTCTCCAAAAAGTGTTTCCAACCTGCTTAATCAAAAGAAAGTTTTAACTGTGAGTTGAATACACTCATCAAGAAGCAGTTTCATGGATAGATCCTTTCTAGTTTTATCTGGGGATATTCGGGTCTTCCCATGGACCACAATAGGCTTCCAAATGTCTCTGTGTGGATTCTCCAAAAATAGTGTTTCCAACCTGCTGAATCAAGAGAAAGGTGCAAATCTGTGAGATGCATCCACACGTCTCAAACCAGTTTCACAGATAACTTCTTTGCAGTTTTTATATCTGGATATTCGGTTTTTCCCCATAGGCCTCAATGTGATCCCAAATATCCCTTCCCAGATTTTCCAAAAAGAAAGTTTCCAGCCTGTGAAAGTTTTAACTCTGTGAGATGAATTCACACATCACAAAGCACTTTCACAGAAAGTTTCTTTTAGTTATTGTCTGAGCATATTCAGTTTTTCCCTGTAAGCCTCAATCTACTACAAAAAGTCCCTTTGTAGATTTTCCAAAAAGAGTCTTTCCAACCTGATGAATCAAAAGAAATGTTGACTTTTGTGAGATGAATCCACACATATCAAAACAGTTTCACTTATAGCCACTTTCTACTTTTCAATCTTTGGATATTTGATTTTTCCCCTATCCACTATAGACTACCAAATGTAAGTTCACTGTTTCTACAAAAAGTGTGTTTCCAACTGGCTGAATGAAAAGAATGGTTTAAACTTACTGTTTTTTTTTTTTTGTCTGGGGATATTTGGTTTTCTTCCCATAGGCCTCCTTGAGAATTTAAATGTCCCTTCACAGATTCTCCAAAAAGAATGTTTCCAACCTGCTGAACCAAAGGAAGGTTTAGCTCTGTGAGATTAATCCACACATCTCAAAGCAGTTTCACTTATAGTCACTTTCTGCTTTTTATCTTTGGATATTCGGTTTTTCCCCTATCCACCATAGGCTACAAAATGTAACTTCACAGATTCTACAAAAAGTGTGTTTCCAACTTGTTAAATGAAAGGAATGGTTTAACTCTGTGAGATGAATGCACATATCACAAAGCACTTTCACAGTTAATTTCCTTCTAGTTTTTATCTTGAGATATTCAATTTTTCCCCATAGGCCTCAGTTGGCTCCCAAACATCCCTTTGCAGATGCTCCAAAAAGAGTGTTTCCTAACTGCTGAATCAAAAGGAAGTTTTAACTCTGTGAGATAAATCCAAACATCAAAAAGCAGTTTTTCAGACAGCTTCTTTCTAGTTTTTATCTGCAGATATTCGGATTTTCCAAGTAGGCCTCAATGGGCTCCTAATGTCCCTTCAGGGATACTCAAAAAGAATGTTTTTCACCTGCTGAATCAAAAGAAATGTTTAACTTGTGACATGAATCCACACATCAGATAGCAGTTTTTTGATAGATTCTTTATAGTTTTTATCTGGGGATATTTGGTTTTCCCCCCAGGCCTCAAAGAGCTCCCAAATATCCCTTCACAGATTCTGCAAAAAGAGTGTTTCCACCATGCTGAATCAAAAGAAAGGTTTAACTCAGTGAGATGGATCCACACTTCACAAAGCAGGTTCACACATAGCTTCTTTCTAGTTTTTATCTGAGGATATTCGTTTTTTTCCCCATAGGCCTCAAAGCTCTCCCAAATGTACCTTCACAGTTTCTCAGAAACAATGTTTCCAACCTGCTGAATTAAAAGAAAGTTTTAACTTTTTGCGATGAATCCACACATCACAAAGCAGTTTCACAGATAGCTCCTTTCCAGTTTTTATCTGGGGATACTCTTTTTTTATCTTTTAACCCTCAATGGACTCCAGAATGACCTTTCAATGAGTCACCAAAAGGACTTTTTTTCAACCTGCTGAAACAAAAGAAAGGTTTAACTCTGATAAATGAATCCACACATCACAAAGCAGTTTCTCAGATAGCTTCTGTCTAGTTTTTATAAGGGGATATTCTTTTTTTCTGATATGCCTCATAAGGCTCTTAAATGTCTCTTCTCAGATTCTACAAAAAGAATGTTTCCAACGTGCTGAATCAAAAGAATCACTTAAGTCTGTGAGATGAATTCACATATCACAAAGCATTTTCACAGGCAGTTCCTTTTTAGTTTTTTATTTGGGGATATTTTGTTTTTTTCTTATAAGCCTCAAGGGGCACCAAAATGTCCCTTCACAGATTATTGAAAAAGAGTGTTTCCAACGTGCTGAATCAAAAGAAAGGTTTAACATTGTGAGATGAATTGACACAGTACAGTGCAGATTCACAAATATCTGCTTACTAGTTTTCATCTGGAAATATTCAGTTTGTCAACATAGGCCTCAATAAGATTCCAAATGTTTTATCCCAGGTTCTCCAAAAAGAGAGTTTCCAAACTGCTGAATCAAAAGAAAGGTTAATCTCTGTAAGATAAATCCACACATCACAAAGCTGTTTCACAGATAGCTTCTTTCTAGTTTTTATCTGGGAATATTTTGTTTTTCTCCACAGGCCTAAATGGGCTCCCAAAGTCCCTTCACAGATTCTCCAAACATAGTGTTTCCACCCTGCTGAATAAAAAGACAGTATTAACTATGTGAGATGATTCCACACATCACAAATCAGTTTCTCAGATAGCTGCTTTCTAGTTTTTATCTGGGGATATTTTGTTTTTCCCCAAAGACCTCAATGGGCTCTTAAATGTCCCTTCACAAATTCTCTAAAAAGAGTGTCTCCAACCTGCTGAAGCAAAAGAATGGGTTACCTTTGTGAGATGAATCCACACATCACATCACGTTCACACATTGCTTCTTTCGAGTTTCTATCTCAGGATATTTGTTTTTCCCCCACTGGCCTCAATAGGCTCCCAAAATTTCCTTCATTGATTATCTAAAAAGAGTGTTTTCAACCTGCTGAGTCAAATGAAAGTTTTAACCCTGTGAGATGAATCCAAACATCACAAAGCAGTTACACATATAGCTTCTTTCTAGGTTTATTTAGGGATACTTGTTTTTTTTCCATAGGTCACAATGGGCTGCCAAACTTCACTTTGCAGACCCTCCAAAAAGAGTTTCCTACCTGCTGAATCAAAAGAATAGTTTAACTCTCTGAGGTGAACCCACACATCACAAAGTAGTACACAGATAGCTTCTTTTGTGTTTTTTTTTCCCCTGGGGATACTCAATTATTTCCCTTAGAAATTAATGGGATCCAAAATATCCCTTTGCAGATTCTCAGAGAAGAGTGTTTCCAGCCTGTTAAATCAAAAGAAAGTTTTAACAATGTGAGATGAATCAATGCATCACAGAGCAGTTTGACAGATAGCTTCTTTTCAGTTTTTATCAAAGGATATTTGCATTTTCCTCATAGGCCTCAATGGGCTCTCAAATGTCCTTTCACAGATTTTCCAAAAAGTGTTGCCAACCTTCTGAATCAAAAGAAAGTTTTACCTCTGTGGGATGAATCCACACATTACAAAGCCGTTTCTCAGATAGCTTCTTACTAGTTTTTTTTGGAGATATTCAGTTTTTCTTGATAGGCCTCAATGGGTTTTCAAATGTCCATTTACAAATTCTCCAAAAACATTGTTCAGATCCTGTTGAATCAAAAGAAAGATTTAACTGTGTGAGATGTATTTACACATCACAAGGTAGTTTCACAGGTAGCTTTTATAGTTTTTACCTGGTGATATTCTTTTTTTCCTGCTAGGCCTCAAAGTACTCCCAAATTGCCCCTCACAGATTCTCCAAAAAACAGTGTTTTCAACTTGGTGGATCAAAGAAAAGTTTTAACTCTCTGAGATGAATCCACACATCACAAAGAAGTTTCATAGATGGCTCATTTCTAGTTTGTATCTGAGAATATTCAGTTTTCTCCCATAGGGCTAACTGGGCTTCCAAAAGTTTCTTTGTAGATTTTCCAAAAAGATGTGGTCCCAACCTGCTGAACCAAAAGAAAAAAATTAACAGTGTGAGTTGATTCCACACATCACAAAGCAATTTCACAAATATCTACCTCCTAGTTTTTATCTGAGGATAAACTGTTTTCCCCATAGGCCTGAATGGGCTCCCAAATGTGCCATCACAGATTCTCCAAAAAGAATGTATCCAACCTGTTGAAACAAAAGAAATGTTTAACTCTGTGAGATGAATCCACACATCACAAAGCAGTTTCACAGATAGCTTCTTTCTACTTTTTATCTGGGGATATCTTGTTTCTCCTTATAGGCCTCAGTGGGCTCCCAAATGTTTCTTCACAGATTCTCCAAAAAGGGTGTTTCCAACCTGGTGAATAAAAAGAACGTTTTTCCTCTGTGAGGTATACAAAACATTTTCACAGATAGCTTTTTTCTAGTTTGTACCTGGGGATATTTGTTTTTTTCTCCCATAGGCCTCAATGTTCCTGCAAATGTCCCCTCACAGATTCTCCAAAAAGAGTGTTTGTAACCTGCTGAAACAAAAGAAAATTTAACTCTGTGAAATGAATCTACACATCACACAGCAATTTCACAGATAGTTTCTCTCCAGATTTTATCTGGAGATATCCAGTGTTTCCCCGTTGGCCTCAATGGGCTCTGAAATGTATTTCGCAGATTCTGAAATTAGAGTGTTTCCAAAATGCTGAATCAAAATACAAGTTTAATACCATCAGATGAATCCACACATCACATAGCAGTTTCACACATAGATTCTAACTTCTTTTTATCTGGAAATATTCGGTTTTTTCCCATAGGTCTCAATGGGCTCTCAAACATTTCTTTGCAGGTTCTCCAAAAAGGGTGTTTCCATGCTGCTGAATGAAAACAAATGTTTAACTCTATGAGATGAATCCACCTATCACAAACAAGTTTCACCGATAGCTTCTTTCTAGTTTTTATCTCGGGATATTCAGGTTTTTCCACAGGCCTCAGTGGGCTAAAAAGTGTCCCTTCACAGATTCTTCAAAAGGAATATTTCCAAACTGACGAATCAAAAGAAAGTTTTAACTCTGTGAGATGAATTGACACATCACAAAGCAATTTCACAGATAACTTCATTCTAATTTTTATCTGGGGATATTCAGTTTTTCCCCATTGGCCTCAATGGGCCCTCAAATGACACTTTGCATATTCTCCAAAAATATGTTTCCCACCAGCAGAATCAAAAGAAAGCTTTAACTATATGAGATGAATCCACACATCCAAAGCAGTTTCACAGATAGCTTCTTTCTAATGTTTGTCTGTGGATATTCGGTATTTCTCTCTACGCCTCTATGGGTTCCCATATGCTCCTTCACAGATTCTCCAAAAAGAGTATTTCCAATCAGCTCCATCAAAAGAACGGTTTAACACTGTGAGATAAGTTTACCCATCAAAAATCAGTTTCACAGATAGCTTCTCTGTAGTTTTTATCTGGTTTTATTCCTTTTTACCCCGTAGGCCTCAATGGGCTTCAATTGTCCCTTCACGGATTCTGCAAAAAGAATGTTTTCCCCTGCTGAATCAAAAGAAAAGTTTAACTCTGTGAGCTGAATCCACGCACCACAAGGCAGTTTCAGAGATAGTTTCTTTCTAGTTTGTATCTGAGAATATTTGGTGTTTTCCCATAGGTGTCAGTGGGCTCCTAAATGTCCCTTCACTGATTCTCCAAAAAGAGGGTTTCCAACCTGCTGAATAAAAAAAAGGTTTAATGCTGTGATGTGAATTTGCACATCAAAAATCAGATTTACACATAGCTTCTTTCTAGTTTTTATCTGTCTATATTGTGTTTATCCACATGGGTCTCAATGGGCACCCAAATGTCCCTTTGCAGATTCTAGAAAAAGAGGGTTTCTATCCTGCTTAATCAAAAGACAAGTTTAACTCTGTGAGATGAATTCACACATTACATAGCAGTTTCACAGATAGCTTCTTTCTAATTTTTATCTTTGAGTATTTGGTTTTTCCCCCTATGCCTCAAGGAACTCCCAAATATCCCTTAGTAGAGTCTGGAAAAGGAGTGTTTCCAACCTGCAGAGTGAAAAGAAAGGCTTAACTCTGTGAGATGAATCCACACATCACAAAGCAGTTTCACAGATAGTTTCTTTTAAGTTTTTATATGTTGGTAATCCGTTTTTCTCTATCAAACTCAATGGGCTTACAAATGTTCCTTCACAGATTCTATAAAAAGCATTTTCTATTTGCTGAATCAAAATAAATGTTTATCTCTCTGCAATGAATCCACATATCAAGGAAGTTTCACAGATGGCTTCTTTCTAGTTTTTATCAGGGGATACCCCATTTTTTTCACACAGGCCTCAGTGGGCTCCCAAATGTCCTTTCACAGATCCTCCAAAAAGAGTGTTTCCAACCTGCTGGATATAAAGAAAGTTTTAACTCTGTGAAATGAATCCACACATCGGAAAGCAGTTTCAAGGATAGCTTCTTTCTAGTTTTTATCTGTGAATATTCAGTTTATTCCCATAAGCTTCAAAGGGCTCCCAAATATCCATTTATTCCCCAAAAAGAGTGTTTCCAACCTGCTGGTTGAAAAGAAAGTTTTAACTCTTTGAGATTAATCAAACATCGCAAAGCAGTTTTACAGATGGCTTCTTTATACTGTTTATCTGGAGATATTCCGTTTTTCCCCTAGGCTTCAAAGGGCTCCAAAATGTCACTTTCCAGATCCTTCAAAAAGAGATTTTCCAACCTGCTGAATCATAAAAAAGGTTTAATTCCATGAAATGAATCCACACATCAGAAAGTAGTTTCACAGGTAGCTTCTTTCTAGTTTTTATTTGGAAACATTCAGTTTTTTGCAATACGACTCAGTAAGCTCCCTAATGTCCATTCACAGATTTCCCAAAAAAAGTTGTCCAACCTGCAGATTCAAAAGTAATGTTTAACTCTGTGAGATGACTCCACACATCAAAAAGCAGTTTTGCAGATACTTTCCTTCTAGTTTTGATCTGGGGATATTTCGTGTTTCCTCAAAAGCCATAATGGGCTCTCAAATGTCCCTTCGCAGATTCTCCAAAAAGAGTGTTTCCAACCTGCTGATTCAAAAGAAAGATTTAACTCTGTGAGATGCATTCACACTTCACAAAGTACTTTCACAGATAGTTTCTGTCTATTTTTTGTCTGTGGATATTCTGTTTTTCCCCTCAGGCCTCAATGGGCTCTGAAATGTCCCATTGAACATTCTCCAAAAAGAGTGTTTTTAACCTGCTGAATGAAAAGAAAGTTTTAACTCTGTGAGACGAACCCACACATCACAATGCTGTTTCACAGATTGCTTCTTTCCATGTTTTATCTGGGTATATTTAGCTTTTCCACATGGGCCTCAGTTGGCTCCCAAATGTCCCTTCTCATATTCTCCAAAAAGAGTATTTCCAACCTCCTCAATTGAAAGAAAATTGTAACTTGTGAGATGAATCCACACATCAAAAAGCATTTTCACAGATAGCTTCTTTCTCATTTTTATTGGGAATATTCAGTTTTTCTTCATAGGCCTCAGTGGCTTCAAGATGTCCCTTTGCAGCCTGTCGAATCAAAACAAAAGTTTATCACTGTGAGATGAATCAACACTTCACAAAATAGTTTCACAGATAGCTTCTTTCTAGTTTTGATCTGGGGATATTCCATTTTCCACACAGGCCTTAATGGGCTAACAAATGTCCCTTCATGGATTATTCAAAAGGAATGTTTTAAACCTGATGAATTAAAAGAAAGTTTTAACTCTGTTAGATGAAGCCACACATAAGAAAATCGTTTCACAAACAGCTTCTTCCTAGTTTTTATCTGGGGATATTCAGGTTTTCTGCATAGGCCACAATGGGCTCCCAGATGACCCTTCACAGATTCTCCAAAAATATATTTCCAACCTACAAATCAAAGGAGAGGTTTAAATCTTTGAGGTGAATCCACATATCACAAAGCAGTTTCATGGATAGCTTCTTTCTAGTTTTTAATCTAGGGATATTCAGTTTTTCTTTGTAATCTTCAAAAGGCTCTGAAAAGTTTCTTTGCAAAATCTAAAATTATAGTGTTTCCAACCTGCTGGATCAAAAGGAAATTTTATCTCTGTGGGATCAATCCACACATCACAAAACAGTTTCACAGATCGCTTATTTCTAGTTCTTACCTGGGGACATTTAGTTTTTTCTTGTATGTCTGAATGGGCTTCTAAATGTCTCTTCACAGAATCTCCAGTTAAAGTGGTTCCAACCTCCTGAATCAACAGAAACGTTTAACTCTGTGAGGTGAATACACATATCACAAAGCAGTTCCACAGACAGCTTCTTTCTAGTTTTTATCTAGGCATATTTTGTTTTTCCCCATAGGCCACAATGGGCTACAAAATGTCCTTTTGCATATTCTCCAAGAAGAGTGTTTCCCACCTGCTGAATCAAAAGAATGGTTTACCTCTGGGAGATAAATCCACACAGCACAAAGAAGTTTCACAGATTGCAACTCTCTAGTTTTTTTTTTTCTGGGGAAATTCAGTTTTTCCCAATAGTCCTCAAAGGGTTCCCAAATATCTCTTGCAGAATCTACCAAAAGAATGTTTCCAACCTGCTAAATCAAAAGAAAAGTTTACCAGTGTAATATGAAGCCACACACCACAAAACAGTTTCACAGACAGCTTCTTTCTAGTTTTTATCTTGGGATATTCAATTTTTCCCCATAGGCCACAATGGGCTTTCAAGGGTCCCTTTGCAGATGCTCCAAAAAGAGGATTTCCTACCTGCTGAATCAAAAGGAAGGTTTAACTCTGTGAGATGAATCCACACATCACAAAAGAGTTTCACAGATGGCTTCTTTATAGTTTTTTTTCTGGGAATATTCAATTTTGCCCCATAGGCCACAACAGGCTCAAATATGCTTTTTCGCAGATTTTGCAAAAAGAGTTTTCAAACCTGATGGATGAAAAGAAAGTTTTAACTCTGTGAGATGAATCCACATATTACAAAGCAGTTTCACAGACAGCTTCTTTCTAGTTTTTCTCTGGGGATATACTTTTTTGCCACATAGGCCCCAATGGGCCCCCGAACGTTCCATCACAGATTCTCCAAAAAGAGCATTTCCAAGCTGTTGAATCAAAAGAAAATTTTAACTCCATCAGATGAATCCACACCTCACAAGGCAGTTTCATAGTTACCTTATTTCTAGTTTTTACCTGAGGATATTTTGTTGATCCCCATAGGCCTCAATGGGCTCCCAAAAGTCCATTCACAGATTCTCCAAAAAGAGTGTTTCCAACTTGCTGATTCAGAAGAATAGTTTAATTTTGTGAGATAAATTCACACATCACATCAGTTTCACATGTAGTTTCTTTTGAGTTTCTATCTTGGGATATTCAGTTTTTCCCCACAGTCCTCAATAAGCTCCCAAATGTCCCTTCATAGATTCTCTAAAGTAAGTGTTTTCAACCTGCTGAATAAAAAGAAACGTTTATATCTGGGACATGAATACACACATCACAAAGCATTTTCTCAGATATCTTCTTTCTAGTTTTTATCTGAGGATATTTAGTTTTTTTCTATAGGCTAAAATTTGCTCCCAATTGTCCCCTCGCAAGTTCTCCAAAAAGTGTTTCCAATCTGCTTAATCCACAGAATGGCTTAACTCTCTGAAGGGAATCCACACACCATGGAGTTGTGTCACAGGTAGCTTCTTTCGAGTTTTTATCTGGGGATATTCGTTTTTTTCCCTTAGGCATCAATGGGCTGGAAAATATCCCTTCGCAGATTCTCAGAAAAGTGTGTTTCTGACCTGCTGAATCAAAAGAAACTTTTAACTCTGTGAGATGAATCCACACATCACCAAGCGGTTTCACAGATAGCTTCTTTCTAGTTTTTATCTAAGGATATTCACCTTTTTTTTCAACAGGCATCAGTGGGCTCACAAATGTCCCCTTGCAGATTTTCCAAAAACAGTGTTTCCAGTCAGCTGAAATAAAAGAAAGGTTTAACTCTGTGAGATGAATCCACACATCACAAAGCAGTTTCACAGATAGCTTCTTTCTAGTTTCTATATGGGGTATTCTGTTTTTCCACATAGGCCTCAATGGTCTCCCAAATGTCCCTTCACTGATTCTCCAAAAAGACTCTTTTCAAACTACTGAAACAGAAGAGTGGTTTATCTCAGTGAGATGAATCCGCATGTCACAAAGCAGCTTCACAGATAGATTCTTTCTAGTTTTTATGTGGATACGTTTGCTGTTTCCCCTTAAGCCTGAATGGAATCCAAAATGTACGTTTGCAGGTTCCTCAGAAAGAGTGTTTCCAATCTATTGAATAAAAGGAAAGGTTTAATTCTGTGAGATGAATCCATATATTGTAAAGCTGCTTCACAGAAAGATTCTTCCAAATTTTTTTCTTAGGATATTTACTTTTTCTACCTAGGCCTCAGTGGACTCCCAAATATCCCCTCACATATTCTATAAAAAAGAGATTTCCAACCTGCTGAATCAAAAGAGTTTTAACTCTGTGAGATAAACCCACACATCACAAAGCAGTGTCACAGAGAGCTTCTCTCTCGTTTTTCTCTGGGGATATTTGGTTTTTCTCCATTACCCATATAGGGCTGCAAAATGTCCCTTCACAGATTCTCCAAAAAGAGTTTATCGAACCTGCAGAATAAAAAGAAAGGTTTAACACTTTGAGATGAATCCTCACATCACAATGCAGTTTCAAAGATAGATTCTTTCTAATTTTCATCTGGTGATATTCTATTTTGCCCATTAGGATTCAATGAGCTCCCAACTGTCTCTTTGAAGTTTATAGAAAGAAAGTGTTTCCAACACAGTAAATAAAGAGGAAAGTTTAACTCTGTGAGATGAATTCACCCATCACCAAGCAGTTTGAAAGATAGCTTCTCTCTAGTGTTTGTCTGGGGATATCCAGTTTTTCTCCTTTGGCCTCAATGTTCTCCAAAATGGCCCTTCACAGATTTTCCACAAAGAGTGTTTCCTACCTACTGAATTAATATAAAGCTTTAACTCTGTGAAAAGAATCCACACATCACAAAGCACTTTCACAGATTGCTTCTTTCTAGTTTTTATCTGGGGTTATTTTGCTTTTACCTGTAAGCCTCAATGGGCTCCCAAATGTCCTTTTGCAGATATTCCAAAAATAGTGTTTCCAACCTGCTGAATCCAAAGAAATGTTTAACTCTGTGAGATGAATCCACACATTACAAAGCAGTTTCACAGATAGCTTCTTTCTAGTTTTCATCTGATGGTATTCAGTTTTGCTCCAATGGCCTCAGTGGGCTCCTAAATGTCCCTTCACAAATTTTCCAAAAAACAATTTCCAACTTGCTAAACCAAAAGAAGGGTTTAAATCTGTGAGATGAATCCACAAATCACAAGGCAGTATCACAGAGATCTTCTTTCTAGTTTTTATCTGGGTATATTAGGTTTTTCCCCATTGGCCTTAATGGTCTCTCAAATGTCCCTTTGCAAATTCTCCAAAAAGAGTGTTTCCAACCTGCTTAATTAAAAGAAAGGATTACTTTGGCGAGATGAATCCACGTATCCAAAGCAGTTTTACACATAGCACCTTTCTAGGTTTTAACTGGTGATATTATGTTTTCCTCCATAGGCCTCAATGGGCTCCTAAATGTCTCTTGGCTGATTCTCCAAAAACAGTTATTCCAACCTGCTGAATCAAAAGAAAGTTTTTTCTCTGTGACATCAATCCCTACATCACAAGCAGTTTCACAGATACCTTCCTTCTAGTTTTTATCTGGGGATATTATGTTTTTTCCCTTAGGCCTCAATGGGCATGCAAAGGTTCTTCACAGGTTCTACAAAAAGAGTGTTTCCAACTGCTGAATTAAAAGAAAATTTTAATTCCTTGAGATGAATCCACACATCACAAAGCAGTTTCACCGAGAGTTCTTTCTAGTTTTTATCTGGGGATATTCCATTTTTCCCCAATAGTCTTCAATGGGCTCTGAAATGATCCTTCACAGATTCTACAAAAAGAGTGTTTGCAACCTCCTAAATCAAGAGAAAGTTTTAACTGTGACATGAATCCCCACATCACAAAGCAGTTTCACAGATTGCTTCTTTCTAGTATTCACCTGGGGATATTCAAATTTGTGCTTAGCGCTCAATGTGCTCTGATATTTCCTTTTGTAGATTTTTCAAAAAGTGGATTTCCAACCTGCTGAATCTAAAGAAACATTTAACTCTGTGTGATGAAACCACACATCACAAAGCAGTTTCACAGAAAGCTTCTATCTAGTTTTTATCTGGAGATATTTGGTTATTCTTCATAGGTCACAGTGGACTCCTAACTGTCCCTTTGCAGATTTTCCAAAAAGAGTGTTTCCGATCTGTGAAATCAAAAGAAATGTTTAACTTTGTGAGATGAATCCACACGTCACAAAACAGATTCACTGATAGCTTCTTTCTAGTTTTTATCTGAGGATATTCGGCTTTTCTGCATAGGCTTAAATTGGCTCAGAAATGTCTTGTCAAAGATGCTACAAAAAGAGTGTTTCCAACCTGCTGCTTGAAAAGGAGGGTTTAACTCTGTCAGATGAATCCACACATCACAAAGCAGATTCAAAGATAGCATCTTCCTTTTTTTATCTGGGGTTATATGCTTTTTCCTGTAGGCCTCAATGGCTCATGAATATTCCTTCACAGATTCTCCAAAAAGAGCGTTTTCTACCTCCTGCATCAAAAGAAAGGTTTAACTCTGTGAGATGAATCCTCATATCACAAGGCAGTTTCACAGATAACTTCTTTCTAGTTTTTATCTGGTGATATTCTGTTTTTCCATATAAACTTCAATGGGCTCCAAAATGTCTCTTTGCAGATTCTCCAAAAATAGTTTTTCCAACCTGCTGAATCAAAAGATAGGTTTGACCCTGTGAGACGAATCCACACATCACAAAGCAGTTTCACAGGTGGATTCTTTCAGTTTTTTTCTGGGGATATTGTTTTTCCGTGTACGCCACAATGGACTCTCAAATGTCTCATTGCAGATTCTACAAAAAAAGTGCTTCCCACCTGCTGAATAAAAAGAAAGTTTTATCTCTGTGAGATGAATCTGCATATCCAAAAGCAGTTTCACAGATAGCTTCTTTCTAGTTTTTATTTGGGGATATTCAGTTTTTCCCATAGGCCTCCATGGACACCTAAATTTTCTTTGCAGTTTCTCCAAAAATATTGTTTCCAAAATGCTGAATAAAAGAAAGGTTTAATTCCTTAGGATGAATCCACACATAACAAAGCAGTTTAACAGATAACATCTTTCCAGTTATTTTCCAGGAATATTCTGTTTTCCCCTATAGGCCTCAATTGTCTCCCAAATTACTCTTTCAATATTCTACAAAAGAGTGTTTCCAACCTGGTGAATCACGAGAAAGGTTTACTCCGTTAAATGAATCCACACATCACAAATCAGTTTCACAGAAAACTTCTTTCAATTTTTTATCTTGGGATATTCTATTTTGCAAATAGGCCTCAAAGAGCTCTGAAATGTCCCTTTGCAAATGCTTCAAAAAGAGGGTTTCCAACCTGCTGAATCAGAAGAAAGCATTAACTCTGTGAGATGAATCCACATATTACAAAGCAATTTCACAGATAAGTTCTTTCTAGTTTTTAATTGGGGATATTTGGTTTTGCCTCGTAGGCATCAATAAATTCCAAAATGTCTTTTTGCAGATCCTACAGTAAGAGAGTTTTCAGCCTGCTAAATAAAGAAAGTTTTAACTCTGTGAGATGAATCCACACATCACAAAGCATTATCATAGATAATTTCTTTCTTGTTGCTATCTGGGGATATTCAGTTTATATTTATAGGCCCCAATGGGCTCCCACATATCCTTTCACCAATACTCCAATGGCAGTGATTCCAAGCTGCTGAATCAGAAGAAAAGATTAACTCTGTGAGAAGAACCAACATGTCACAAAGCAATTGAAGAGATAGATTCTTTCTAGTTTTTATCTGGCAATATTCTGTTTTTACCCTAGGCCTAAATAGGCTCCCAAATTTCCCTTCACATATTCTCCAAATAGAGTGTTACTACTCTGCTGAATCAAAAAAAATTAATTCTGTGAGATGTATCCACAAATAACAAAGCATTTTCACAGATAGCTACTTTCTCGTTGTTATCTGGGGATGTTAGGTTTTCCCAGTAGGAGTCAATGTGCTCCAAAATGTCCCTTTGCAGATTCCCCCAAAAAAGTGTTTCCAACCTTCTGAATCAAGACAAAGTTTTAACTCTGTGACATTAATCCCCACATCACAAAGCAGTTTCACAAATACCTTCTTTCTAGTTTTCATCTGGGGATATTTGGGTTTGCCCCATAGGCTCTAAGGTGCTTCAAAATGTCTTTTTGCAGATTCTGCCAAAAGCGTGTTTCCAACCTCCTGAATCAGAAGGAAGGTTTCATTCTGTTAGTTGAATCCATACATCACAAATCACTTTCACAGCTTCTTTGTAGTTTTTATCTGGGGCTATTCCATTTTGCCCCACAGGCTTCAAAGGGCTCCCAAATGTCCCCTTGCAGATACTTCAAAATGAGTGTTTTGAACTTGCTGAATCAAAGGAAAGGTTTAACTCTATAGGATGAATCCACATATTACAAAGTAGTTTCGCAGATAGCTTCTTTCTAGTTTTTATCTGGTGATATTCACTTTTTCCTCACAGGCCTCAATGGGCTCCAAAATGCCCCTTCACAGATTCTCGAAAGAGAGTGTCTACAACCTGCTGAATCAAAGGAAAGGTTCTACTCTGTGAGATGAATTCACACATCATAAAGCAGTTTCACCTATAGCTTCTTTCTAGTTTCTGTCTGGGGATATTTGATTTTTTCCCATAGACCTCAAAGGGCTCCCAAATGTCTCTTTGCAGATCCTCCAAAAAGAGTATTTTCAACCTGCTGAATCAAAGGAAATGTTAAACTTTCGAGATGAATCCCCACATCGAAAAGCATTATCACAGGTAGCTTATTTGTAATTTTTATCAGAGGATATTCAGGTTTTCCCCAGAAGCCTCAAAGGGATACCAAATATCCCTTCATAGACCCTCCAAAAAGAGTGTTTCCAACCTTTTAATCAAAAGAGGTGTTTAACTCTGTGAGATGAATCCACACATCACAAAGCAGTTCCACACATTGCTTCTTTCTAGTTTTTATCTGGGGATGTTCAAATTTTCCACATAGACCTCAATGGGCTTCCACATGTCCCTTCACAGATTCTCCAAAGAGTGTGTTTCCAACCTACTGAATCAAAAGAAATGTGAGATGAATCCACAAATCACAAATCAGTTTCACAGATAGCTTCTTTCCAGTTTTTATCTAAGTATATTTGGTTTTTATTTATAGGACTCAATAGGCTCCAAAATGTCCCTTCACACATCCTACAAAAAGAGTGTTTCCAATATGCTGGATGAAAAGAAAGATTTAACTCTGTGAGATGAATCCACACATCATGAAGCAATTTCACAGATAGCTTCTTTCTAGTTTTATTCAGGGAATATTTGGTTTTTCTCCATTGGCATCAAAGGGCGCCCTACTTTCTCTTTGCAGATTCTCCAACAAGAGGGTTTCCAACCTGCTAGATAAAAAGGAAGGTTTAACTCTGTGAAATGAATACACACATCAAGAAGTATCACAAATAATTTCTTTTGAGTTTTTATCTGGACATATTCAGTTTTTTCCATTAGTCTCAAAGGGCTGCAAAATTTCCCTTTGCAAATTCTCCAGAAAGAGTGTTTGTAACCTCCTGTGTTAAAAGAAAGTTTTAGTTTATTGAGATGAATCCACACATCACAAAGTATTTTCACAGATAGCTTTTTTTCTTTTTTTATCTGGGGATATTCAGTTTTTCCACATAGGTCTCAATGGGCTCCAAAAATTCCCTTCGCAGACTCCTCAAAAAAAGTGTTTCCAACCCACTGAGTCAAAAACAAAAGTTTAACTCTGTGAGATGAATCCACATGCCATGAAGAAGTTTCACAGAGAGTTTCTTTCTAGTTTTTAACTGAGGATAACCACTTTTTCCCCATAAGCCTCAATAGACTCCCAAATATCCTTTCTCAGATTCTCCAAAAAGAGTGCTTTCATCCTGCTGAATCAAAAGAAAGGTTTAACTCTGTGAGATGAATCCACACATCACAAAGTATTTTGCACAGACAGATTCTTTCTAGTTTTATGTGGGTATAATTTTGTTTTCCCATAGGTGTCAATCGGCTCTTATAAGTCCATTCGCAGTTTCTCCAAAAAGATTGCTTCCAACCTGCTGAATCAAAAAAAAAAAGGTTTAACTCTGAGATGAATCCACAAATCACAAAGCAGTTAAACAGATAGCTCTTTCTAGTTTTAATATTGGGGCACTCTGTTTTCCTCGTAGACCTCAAGGGGCTCCCAAATGTCCCTTCTCAGATTCTCCAAAAACAGTGTTTTCATCCTGCTGAATCAAAAGAAATATTTAACTCTGTGAGATGAATCCACACATCACAAAGTACTTTGCACAGACAGATTCTTTCTAGTTTTACCTGGGTATATTCTGTGTTTTCCCATAGGCATCAATGGGCTCTTATATGCCCTTTTGCAGATTCTCCAAAAAGATTGTTTCTAACCAGCTGAATTTAAAGAAGGTTTAGTTCTGAGATGAATCCACAAATCACAAAGCAGTTAAACAGCTCTTTCTAGTTTTAATATGAGGATATTAGGTTTTTCCAGATAGGCCTCAATGGGCTCCCAAATGTCCCTTTGCAGATTCTCCAAAAGGAGTGTTTCCAAACTGCAAATCAAAAAAAGTTTTCAATCTGTGAGATGAATCCACACATCAAAAAGCATCTTCACACATAGCTGCTTCCTAGCTGCTGTATGGGGATATTCTCTTTCCACATAGTCCTATAAGGTCTCCCAAATGTCCCTTTGCTGATTCTCCAAAGAGAGTTGTTTACCTGCTGAAAAAAAAGAATGGTTTATCTCAGTTAGATGAATTCACACATTGCAAAGCAGTTTCACAGATATATTCTTCTTAGTTTTTATCTGGGGATATGCTGTTTTTTCCCCTTAGGCTTGAATGGGCTCCCAAATATACCTTCGCAGGTTCTCCAAAAAGAGTTTTTCCAACCTGCTGAATCAAAGGAAATGTTTAACTCTGTGAGATGAATCTGCACATCTTAAAGCGGTTTCACAGAAAGACTATTTCAAATTTTTTTCTGGATATATTCACTTTTTCCACCCAGGCCTCAATGGATGCCAAAATGTCCCTTCAAATATTCTATAAAAAAGAGTGTTCCCAGCCTGCTGAATCAAACTCCAAAATGTCCATTCGTGGATCTCCAAAAAGAATGTATCCAAACAGTGGAACCAAAAGAGAAGTTTAACTCTGTGAGATGAAACCTCACATCACAAAGCAATTTCAAATATAGCTTCTTTCCAGTTTTTATATGGTGATATTCAGTTTTGCCCAATAGGATTCAATGGGCTCCCAAAGGTGCCTTTGCAGTTTCTACAAACAAAAGTGTTTCCAACATGCTAAATCAAGATAAAAGTTTAACTCTGTGAGATGAATCCACAGATCACCAAGCAGTTTCAAAGATAGCTTCTCTCTAGTTTTTATCTGGGGATATTTAGTTTTTCTCCATTGACCTGAATGTTTTCTCACATGGCCCTGTGCAGATTCTCCAAAAAGAGTGTTTCCAACCAGCTGAATAACATAAAGATTTAACTCTGTGAAAAGAATCCAAGTATCACAAAACACTTTCACACACAGCTTCATTCTATTTTTTATAGGGTTATTCAGTTTTGATCCATGGGCCTCAATGGGCTCCCAAGTATCCTTTTGCAGATTCTCCAAAAAAAGTGCTTCCAACCTGCTTAATTAAAAAAAAGGTTTAGCTTTTGAGATGAATCCACATATCCAAAGCAGTTTCACAGATAGCATCTTTCTATTTTTCATCTGGGGATATTTCGTTTTTCTCCATAGGCATTGATGGGCTCCTAAATGTCCCTTGGCTGATTCTCCAAAAAGAGAGCTTCCAACCAGCTGAATTAAAAGAAAGTTTTATTTCTGTGAGATGAATCAACACATCACAAAGCAGTTTCACAGAGAGCTTCTTTCTAGTATTCATCAGGGCATAATCAATTTTGTGCCAATCTTTCAGTGTGCTCTGAAATTTCCTTTCATAGATTCTTCAAAAAGAGGGCTTCCAACCTGCTGAATCAAAAGAAACATTTAACTTGTGAAATGAGTCCACACTTCATGAAATAGTTTCATGGATAACTTCTTTCTAGTTTTTATCTGGGGATATTTTATTTTTCTTCATAGGCCACAATGGGCTCCTAAATGTCCCCGAGCATATTATCCAAAAAGAGTGCTTCCAATCTGCTTAATCAAAGGAAAGATGCACCCTTGTGAGATGAATCCATATATCACAAAGAAGGATCACCAATAACTTCTTTCTAGTTTTTATCTGAGGATATTTCGTTTTTCCCCTTAGGCCTCAATGGGCTCCAAAATGTCTAGTCACAGATTCTCCAAAAAGATTGTTTCCAATCTGGTGAATGAAAAAAAAGGTTTAACTCTGTGAGCTGAACCCCACATCACAAAGCAGTTTCAAAGGTAACTTCTTCCTTTTATCAAATCTAGGATTTTACACTTTTTTTTCCCCTAGGCCATGATGGCTCCCAAATATCCATTTGCAGATTCCCCAGAAAGAGTCTTTTCTACGTGCTGAATCAAAAGAAAGGTTTAACTCTGTGAGATGAATCCACATATCACAAGGTAGCGTCACAGAAAATTTCTCTCTAGTTTTTATATGGGAATATTGGATTTTTCCTCATAGGCCTTAAAGGGCTCCCAAATGTCTTTTTGCAGATTATCCAAAAAGAGTGTTTCCAACCTGCTGAATCAAAAAAAAGGTTTTGGTTTGTGAGATGAATCCACACATCACAAAGCACTTTCACAGATAGGTTCTTTCTGGTTTTTATTGGGGTATAATTTGTTTTGCCTCATACGTGTCAATAAGTTCCAAAATATCTTTATGCAGATTTCGCAAAAAACAGTGTTTCCATCTTACTGAATAAAAAGAAAGTTTTAACTCTGTGAGATGAATCCACACCACACAAAGCAGTTTCACAGATTGCTTCTTTCTTGCTGTTTTCTGGGGATAAAAAGTTCTTATTTATAGTACTCTATGAGCTCCCATATGTCCCTTCACAGATATTCCAAAAATAGTGTTACCAATCTGCTGAATCAGAAGAAAGGTTTAACTCTTTGAGATGAATCAACACATCACCAAGCAGTTTCTCAGATATATTCTTTCTAGTTTTCATTTTAGGATAATCGGTTTTTCCCATAGGCCTGAAAGGGCTCCCAAATGTACCTTCGCATCTTCTCCAGAAAGAGTGTTTCCAACCTACTGAACCAAAAGAAAAGTTTAACATGGTGAGATGAATCCACACATTGTAAAGCAGTTTCATAGAAGAATTCTTTCAAATGTTTTCTAGGGATATTCCTTTTCCCCCATAGGACTCAATGGACTCCCAAATGTCCCTTTGCATATTCTATAAAACAAGTTTCCAAAGTGCTGAACTTTTTGCTTCACAAAGCAGTTTCACAGATACATGCTTTCTAGTTTAAAAACTAGAAAGATAAATCTGGGGATATTTGGTTATTCTTCATGGGCCTAAAAGGGCTCCAAATGTCCCTTCACATATTCTCCAAAAAGAGTGTATACAACCTGAGGAATCAAAAGAAAGGTTTAACTAACTCTGTGAGATGAATCCTCACATCAAAAAGCAGTTTCAAAGGTAGCTTCATTCTAGTTTTTATCTGGAGATATTTGATATTGCCCAATAGGATTAAATGGGCTCCAGAATGTCACTTCACAGTTTCTATAAAAAGAGTGTTTCCAACATGTTAAAGCAAGAGAGAAGTTTAACTCTATGAGATGAATACACACATCACAAAGCACTTTCACAGGTAGCTTCCTTCTAGCTTTTTTCTGGTGACATTCTGTTGTGCTCCGTTGGCCTCAATGGGCTCCCAAATGTCCCTATGCAGATTCTCCAAAAAACTGTTTGCAACCTGCTTAATCAAAAGAAAGTTTTAAATCTCTGAGATGAATCCACACATTACAAAGCCATTTCACAGATAGCTTCTTTCTTGTTCTTCTCTGGGGATATTTGTTTTTTCCCCATAGACCTCAATTATCTCCCAAATGTACCTTCACAGATTCTGCAAAAAGAGTGTTTCCAACCTGCTTAATTAAAACAAAGTTTTAGCTTTTCGAGGTGATAACACATATCCAAAGCAGTTTCACAAAGCGTATCTTTCTAGTTTTTATCTGGAGATATTTTGTTTTCCTCCATAGGCCACGATGGGCTCCTAAATGTCCCTTCACAGATTATCCAAAAAAGTGTTTCCAATCTGCAGAATCAAAAGAATGGTTTATCTCAGTGAGATGAATCCATACACCACAAAGCAGTTTCACAGATAGCTTCTTTTTAGTTTTTATCTGAGGATATTCATTTTCTATCCAGAGGCCTCAATGGACACAAAAATGTTCTTCACAGGTTCCCCAAAAAGAATGTTTCCAACCTGCAGAATTAAAAGAAGGGTTTAATTCTTTGAGATGAATCCACACTTTACAAAGCAGTTTCACAGAGTGTTTCTTTCTAGTTTTTGTCTTGGATATTCCATTTTTCCCTATACTCTTCAATGGGCTCCCAAATGATTCTTCCCAGATTCTATAAAAAGAGTGTTTCCAACCTACTGAATCAAGAGAAAGGTTTAACTCTGTAAGATGAATCCCGACATCACAAAGCAGTTTCACAGATAGCTTCTTTCTAGTATTCATCTGGGGATACTCAATTTTGCACCTAGCCCTCAAGGGGCTCTTAAATTTCCCTTCATAGATTCTTCAAAAAGAGGGTTTCCAACCTGCTGAATTAAAAGAAATGATTAACTCTGTGAGATGAATCAACACATCACAAAGCAGTTTCACAGATAGCCTCTTTCTAGTTTTTATCTAGGGAAATTTGGTATTTCTTTCTAGGCCACAATGGGTTCCTAAAAGTCCCTTCACAGATAATCCAAAAAAGTGTTTCCAATCTGCTGAATCAAAAGAAAGGTTTACCTTTGTGAGATGAATCCACACATCACAAAGCAGGTTCGCCAATAGCTTTTTCTAGTTTTTATCTGATGATACTCTCTTTTTCCCCATAGGCTTAAATGGGTTCTGAAAAGTCTTGTCACAGTTGCTCCAAAAAGAGGGTTTCCAACCTGGATAATGGAAAAAAAGGTTTAACTCTGTGTAATGAATCCACACATAACAAAGCAGTTTCAAAGATAGCTTTTCCCTTTTTTTATCTGGGCATATATAGTTTTTTTCCCATAGGCCTCAATGGCACCCAAATATCCCTTCGCAGATTCTCCAGAGTGTTTTCTTCCTGCCAAATAAAAAGAAATGTTGAACTCTGTGAGATGAATCCACACATCACAAAGCAGTTTCACGGAGAGCTTCTTTCTAGTTTTTATCTCAAGATATTTGATTTTTCCCTAAAGGTCTCCAAGAGCTTCAAAATGTCCCTTCACAGATTCTCACAAAGACTGTTTCCAACTTACTGAATAAGAAGAAAGTTTAACTCTGTAAGATGAATACACACCTCACAAAGCAGTTTCACAGATAGCTTCTTTGTAGTTTTATCTGGAGATATATGTTTTTTTCTCACAGGCATCAATGGACTTCCAAATATTTCTCAACAGATTCTACAACAAGAGTGTTTCCAACCTGCTAAATCAAAAGAAAGGTTGAACTCTGTGAGATGAATCCACACATCACAAAGCACTTTCACAGACAGTTCTTTGTAGTTCTTATCTGGGGATGTTTTCATTTTCCCCTACTCCTCTATAGGATCCAAAAAGTATCTTCACATATTCTACAAAAAGAGTGTTTCCAATCTGCTGAAACAAAAGAAAGCTTTACCTCTGCGAGATGAATCCACACATCACAAAGCAGTTTCACAGATAGCTTCTTTGTGGTATTTGTCTGGGGATATTAGGCCTAAATGGGCTCCCAAATGTCCCTCTGCAGATTCTCAAAAGGAGTGCTTCCAACCTCCTGAATCAAAAGAGAGGTTTAACATAGTGAGATGAATCCACACATCACAAAACTGTTTCTCAGATGGCTTCTTTGTCCCTTTTTCCAGGGGATATTTGATATTTCTCCATAGGCCTCAATGGGCTCCCAAATGTCCCTTCACAGATTCTCCAAAAAAATTTTTCCAACCTGCAGAATCAAAAGAAAGCTTTAACTCTGTGAGATGAAGCCACAGCTCACTAAGCAGTTTCTTAGATGGTTTCTTTCTGGTTTATATATGGAGATATTCTGTTTTCTTCATAGGCCACAGTGTGTTTCCAAATGTCCTTTCACAGATTCTGCAGAAAAAGTGCTTCCAGCCTGCTAAATCAAAAGAAAGGTTTATCTCTATGAGATGAATCCACACATCTCAAAGCAGTTTCACAGATAGATTCTTTCTCGTTTTTATCTCTGTATAGTCAGTCTTTCCCCATACGTCTCAAAAGGCTCCATTCACAGATTTACAAAAAAGAGTGTTTCCTACCTGCTGAATCAAAAGAAAGGTTTAACTCTGTGTGATGAATTCACCCATCACAAAGCAGTTTCACAGGTAGCTTCTTCTAGTTTTCATATGTGGATATACTTTTTTTTCCCATAGGCAACAATGGGCTCACAAATGTCCCATCACAGATTCCTCAAAAAGAGTATTTCCAACCATCTGAATCAAAGAAAAGTTTTAACTTTTTGAGATGAATCCACACATCACAAAGCAGTTTCACTGATAGCTTCTTTCTAGTTTTTATCTGAGGATATTCAGCTTTTCCCCATAAGACTCAATAGGCTCCTAAATTTCCCTTCACATATTTTCCAAAAACACTGCTTTGAATCTGAGGAATCAAAAGAAAGCTTTAACTCTGTGAGATGGGTCCACACCTCACAAAGCAGTTTCACAGAAAATTTATTTCTAGTATTTAACTAGCGATATTCTCTTTATTTCTATTGGCCTCAATGTTCTCCCAAATGTCTCTTCACAGACTCTACAAAAAGACAGTTTTCAGTCTGCTGAATCAAGAGAAAGGTTTAACTCTGTGAGTTCAATCCAAACGTCACAAAGCAGTTTTACTGATAGCTTTTCTCTAGTAGTTGTCTCGGGATATTTGGTTTTTCCCCATAGAACTCAATGGGCTCCCAAATGTCCTTTCACAGGTTCTCCAAAGAGTGATTCCAACCTGCTGAATAAAATGGAAGGTTAACTCTGTGAGATGAATACACATGTCACAAAACAGTTTCACAAATAGCTTCTTTCTAGTTTTTATCTGGGGATATTCAGTTTTTCCCCATAGGCCTCAATGGCCTCCCAAATGTTCCTTTGCAGATTCTAGAAAAAGAGTGTTCCAACATACTGAACCAAAAGAAAGTTTAGCTATGTGAGCGGAATCCACACATCACAAAGGAGTTTCACAGACAGCTTCTTTCTTGTTTTCATCTGAGGATATTCAGTTTTTCCCCATAGGCCTCAATGTTTACCCCAAATGTCCCTTTTCAGGTTCTTCACAAAAAGGTTTTTCCAACCTTCAGAATCAAAGGAAAGTTTTAGTTCAGTGAAATGAGTTCACATATTACAAGGCAGTTTCACAGATAGCTTCTTTTTGGTTTTTATCTAGGGATATTCGGTTTTTCCCATAGATCTCAGTAGTCTCCCAAATATCCCTTCACAGATTCTCAAAAAAAAAAGTGTTTAAAATCTTCAGAATCAAAAAAACAGTTTTAATTCTGTGAAATGAGTCCACACATTACAAGGCAGTTTCACAGATAGCTTCTTTCTAGTTTTTATCTGGGGATATTCAGATTTTCCCAATAGGCTTCATAGGGCTCCCAAATGTCCTTTTGCAGATTCTCAAAACAGAGTGTTTCCAATCTCCTGAATCGAAAGAAAGGTTTAACTCTGTGAGGTGACTCCATACATTACAAAGCATTTTCTTATATAACTTATTTCTAGTGTTTCTCTGGCGATATTTGTTTATTTTTTATTTTTTTATGCCTCAATGTGCTCCCATTGTCCTTTGGGAGACCCTAGAAAAAAAGTATTTCTAACCTGCTGAATAAAAAGGAAGGTTTAGGTCCGTGAAATTTATCCACACACCATCAAGCAGTTTCACAGATAGCCTCTGTCTATTTTTCATCTGGGGATAATCAGTTTTTCCCCATCAGCTTCAATGGGTTCCCAGACGTCAATTCCTACATTTTAGAAAAACAGTGTTCCCAACCTGCTGAATCAAAAGAAAGGTTTAAATCTGTGAGATGAATCCACACATCAGAAAGCAGTTTCACAGATAGCTTCTTTCTAGTTTTTTTCTTTCTTTTTCCCCGTAGGACACAAAGGCCTCCTATATGTCCCTTCACAGATTCTCCACAAAAAGTGTTTCCAACATGCTGAATCAAAAGAAAGTTGTAACTCTGAGAGTTGAATCCCCACATTACAATGCAGTTTCAGAGATAGCTTCCTTCTAGTTTTTATTTTGGGGTTATTCATTTTTTTTCATGTCCCTCAATGGGCTCTCAAATGTCCTTTTGTAGAGATTCTCCAATAAAACTCTTTCCAACCTACTGAATAAAAACTGTGGTTCAACTCTGTGAGATGAATCCATGCATCACAAAGAAGCTTCACAAGACCTTTTTTCTCATTTTTATCTGGGAATATTTTGTTTTTCCCTATAGGACTCAATGGGCTCCCAAATTTCCCTTTTCAGATTTTCAAAAGAAGCTCTTTCCAACCTGCAGAATCAAAAGAATGGTTTAACTCTGTGAGATGAATCCATACTGCACAAACCAATTTCACAGATAGTTTCTTTCTAGTTTTTATCTGGTGATTTTTTTTTCCATAGGCCTCAGTGGGCTCCCAAATGAACATTTACAGATTTTCCAAAAAGAGTGTTTCCAGCCTGCTGAATCAAAAGAAATGTTTAACTCTGTGAGACGAGTCCCCGCGTCACTAAGGAGTTTCACAGAGAGCTTCTTTCTAGTTTTCATCTGGGGATATTTGTTTTTTCCCCATAGGCCACACAGGGCCCCCAAATGTCCATTCACAGATTCTCCAAAAAGAGTGTTTCCAACCTGTTGAATGAAAACAAAGGTTTAACTCTGTGAGACGAGTTCACACATCACAAAGCAGTTTCACAGACAGATTATTTCTACTTTGTATCTGGGGATATTAAGTTTTTCCCCATAGGCTGTAATTTTATCCCAAATGTCCACTTGAAGATTGTCCAGAAAAGTGTTTCAAACCTGCTGGATCAAAAGAAAGGTGTAACTTTGTGAGATAAATCCACCTAACAGAAAGCCATTTCACAGATAGGTTCTTTCTAGTCTTTATCTGGGGATATTCTTTCTCCATAGGCCTTAATGCACTCCCCAATATCTGTACAGAGATTCTCCAAAAAGAGTGTTTCCAATCTGCTGAATCAAGAGAAAGTTTTAAATCCATGAGATGAACCCACACGTAAAAAAGCAGTTTCACAGATAGCTTCTTTGTAGTTATTATCTGGGGATATTCAGCTTTTCCAATAGGCCTCAGTGGGCTCACTAATGTCTCATCACAGATTTTCCAAAAAGACTGTATCGAACGTGCTGAGTGGAAAGAAAGCTTTACCTCTGTGAGATGGATCCACACATTACAAAGCAGTTTCACGGATAACTTCTTTCTAGTTTTTATCTAGAGATATTCGTTTTTTTTTCCACAGGCCTCAAAAGGCTCCCAAATGACTCTTCACAGATTATCCAAAAACGATGTTTCTAGCCTGCTGAATCAAGAAAAAGGTTTAACTGTGTGACAAGAATCCAAACATCACAAAGCAGTTCTACTGAGAGCATTACTCTTGCTGTTATTGGGGGATATTCTGTTTTCCCCTTAAGCCTCAATGGGCTCCCATATGTTTCTTTGCAGATCCTCCAAAAAGAGTGTTTCCAACTGGCTGAATCAAAAAAAAAAGGTTAACTCCATTAAATGAATCAACATATGACAAAGTAGTTCCACAGATAGATTCTTTCTAGTTTTTATCTGGGGATATTTGGTTTTTCCCCTTAGGCATTTACGGTCTCCCCAATGACCCTTCAGAGATTCTCCAAATAGAGCTTTTCCAACCTGCAGAATCAAGAGAAAGGTTTATTTCGGTGAGATTAATACACACGTCACAAAGCAGTTGCACAAACAGCTTCTTTCTTCTTTTTATCTAGGGATATTCGATTTTTCCCCATAGGCCACAGTGGGCCCCCAAATGTTTCTTTGCAGATTCTCCAAAAAAGTTTTTCCAACCTGGTGAGTCAAAAAAAGTGTTAACTCTGTGAGGTGAATCCACACATCACAAAGCAGTTTCATAGATAGATTCTTTCCAGTTTTTATTGAGGGATATTCTGTTTTTCCCATAAGAACTCCATGGGCTCCCAAATGTCCTTTCTCAGATTCTCCAAAAACGGTGTTTCCAACGTGCTGAATCAAAAGAAAGATTTAACTCTATGAAGTGAATTCACGTATCTGAAAGCAGTTTCACAGTTAGCTTCTTTCTAGTTTTTATATGTGGATATTCTTTTCTTCCCCGTAGGCCTTAAAGGGCTCCAAAATATTCCTTCACATATTCTCCAAAAATGTTTTCAACCTGCTGAATCAAAAGTAAGCTTTTACTCTGTGAGATGATTCCACACATCACAAATCAGTTTTACAGATTGCTTCTGTCTAGTTTTAATCTGGGGATATTCAGCTTTTCCCCATATGCCTCAATGGGCCATGAAATTTCCCTTCAAAGATTTTATAATAAGAGTGTTTGCAATCTGCTGTATCAAAAGAAAGTTTAACTCTGTGAGATGAATCCACACATCACAAAGCAGTTTCACAGATAGCTTTTTTCTACTTCTTATATGGGGATACTCAGTTTTTCCCCATAGGCCTCAATGGTTTCCCAAATTTCATTTTGCAGATCCTCCATAAAGAGTTTTTCCAACCTGATGAATCAAAAGAAAGGTTTCACTCTGTAAGATGAATCCACAAATCACAAAGTAGTTTCACAGATAGCTTTTTTCTAGTTTTTGTCTTTGAATATGTGGTTTTTCTCAGTAGGCCTCAACGGTATTCCAAATGACCCTAAGTAGATTCTCCAAAAAGAGTATTTCTTAACCTGCAGAATCAATAGAAGGGTTTAATTCTGTGAGATGAATCCACATAACACAAAGCAGTTTCAAATTTAGCTTCCTTCTTGTTTTTTTATTTTTCTGGGGATATTTGTTTCTTTTTTTTTCCCCATAGTCCTCAGTGAGCTCCCAAACGTGCCTTTGGAGACTGTATAAAAACAGTATTTCCAATCTGCTGAATCAAAAGAAAGGCTTCACTCTGTAAGTTGAATCCACATAACACAAAGCAGTTTCGCAGACAGCTTCTTTCTAGTATTTACCTGTGGATATTTTGTTTGCCCCATAGGCCTCAATGGCCACCTAAATGTCCCTTTGCGGATTCTACAAAAAGAGTATATCCAACCTGCTGAATCAAAGCAAAGTTTTAATGCTGTTAGATGAATCCACACATCACAAAGCCTTTTCACAGATAGCTTCTTTCTTGTTTTTAACTTGGGATACTTTGTGTTTCCCTATAGGCATCATTGGGATCTGAAATGTCCCTTCACAAATACTCCAAAAAAAAGTTTCCAACCTGCTCAGTCAAAAGAAAGGCTTAACTCTGTGAGATGAATCCATACTTCACAAAGCAGTTTCACCGACAGATTAATTCTAGTTTTTATCTTGGGGATATTTGATTGTTTCCCACAGGCCTGAAAGGGCTCTTTAGTGTCCCTTCACAGATTCTACAAAAAAAGTTTGCCAACCTGCATAATCAAAAGAAAGATTTAACTCTGTGAGATGAATCCACACCTCACAAAGCAGTTCACAATACGTTGTCTTTCGTTTTTATCTGGGCATATTCAGTTTTTCCCTATGGGTCTCACTGGGCCCCCAAATGTCCGTTAGCACATTCTACAAAAAGTGTGTTTCCAACCTGCTCAATCAATGGAAAGATTCAAGTCTGGAAGATGAATCCACACATCACAAAGCAGTTTCACAGATAGCTTCTTTCTAGTTTTAATCTGGGAATATTCAGTTTTTCCCCATAGGCCTCAATGGACTCCAAAATGTCCCTTTGTCAATTCTCCAATTAGAGTGTTTCCAACCTGTTGAAACAAAAGAAAAATTTAACTCTGTGAGATGAATCAACACATAACAAAGCAGTTTCACAGATAGCTTCCTTCCACTTTTTATCTGGGGATATTCAATGTTTCCCCTTTGGCCTCAATGGGCTCCCAAATGTCCCTTTGCAGATACTCCAAAAAGAGTGTTTCCAACCTGCTGAATCAAAAGAAAGGTTTAAGCCTGTGAGATGAATCCACATATCAAAAAGCAGTTTCACAGATAGTTTTCTTCTAGTTTTTACCTGGAAATATGTTGTTTTTCTCCATAGGCCTCAATGGGTTACAAAATGTTTCTTTGCAGATTATCTAAAATAGTGTTTTCATCTTGTTGAATCAAAAGAAAGTTTTGTATCTGTGAGATGAATCCAGACATGAAAAATTAGATTCACAGATAGCTTCTTTCTAGCTTTTTCTGGGAATATTCAGTTTTTCCCTGTAGGCCTTAATGGGCTACAAATGTCTCTTTGCAGATTCTACAAAAATAGTGTTTCCAACATGCTGAATCAAACGAAAGCTTTAACTCTGTCAGCTGAATCCACACATAACAAGGTAGTTTCACAGGTAGTTTCTTCTAGTTTTTAATCTGAGAATATGCGATGTTTCCCCATAGGCGTCTATGGGCTCTCAAAAGTCCCTTTGCAGATTCTGCAAAAAGAGTGGCTCCAACCTGCTTAATCAAAAGAAGGGTTTAACACTGTGACATGAGTCAACACATGACAAGACAGTTTCACTGATAGCTTGTTTCTAGTTTTATCTGCTGATATTCAGTTTTTACTTGTAGGCATCAATGGGCTCTTAAATGTCCCTTTTCAGATTCTACAAAAAGAGAGATTCCAACCTGCTAAATCAAAAAAAGGTTTTAACTCTGTGAGATGAATCCACACATTACAAATTAGTTTCACAGATAGCTTCTTTCTTGTTTTTATCTGGGGATATTCTGTTTTTACCCATAGGCTTTAATGGGCTCCCAAATGTCCCTCCACAGATTCTACAAAAAGAGTGTTTTCAACCTGTGGAATCAAAACAAAGCTTTAACTGTGTGAGCTGATCCCACATATAACAAGGTAGTTTCACAGGTAGCTTTGTTCTAGTTTTTCTCTGGGGATATTCAGTGTTTCCCCACAGGCCTCAATGGGCTTCCAAATGTCCCTTCGAAGATACTCCAAAAAGAGTGTTTCTAACGTGCTGAATCAAAAGAAAAGTTTAACTCAGACATGAGTCAACAAATGACAAATCAATTTCACAGAGCACTTCTATCTAGTTGGTTTTTTTTTTTTCTGAGGATACTCGCTTTTTACTTCTAGGCCTCAATGGGCTCCCAAATGTTTCTTCAGAGAAACTACAAAGAGTGTTTCCAACCTGCAGGATCAAAAGAAAATTTTACCTCTATTAAAGGAATCCACACATCACAAAGCACTTTCTCAGATAACTTCTTTGTAAATTTTATGTAGGTTTATTCATTTTTCCCCCACAGGCTTCAATGGGCTTTCAAATGTCCCTTCACAGATTCTCCAAAAATAGTGTTTCCAACCGTCTGAATGAAAAGAAAGGTTTAAGTTTGTGAGAGGAATCCACACATCCCTAAGCAGTTTTACAGATAACTTCTTTCTAGTTTTTATGAGAGGATATTTGGTTTTTCTCTATAGATCTCAGCGGGCTTCAGTGGCACTTTTCAGTTGTGTAAGAAGTGTGTTTCCAACCTGCTGAATTGAAAGAATGGTTTCACAGATAGTTTCTTTCTAATATTTATCTGGGGATATCATGTTTCTCTCCTTAGGGCTCAATGGGCTCCCAAATATCCCTTTGCAGATTCTACAACAAGATTGTTTCCAACCTGCTGAATCAAAAGAAAGGTTTCTCTATGTGAGATGAATTCATACATCACAAAGCAGTTTCACAGATAGCTTACTTTTAGTTTTATCTGGGGATATTCAATTTTTCCTTTTAGGCTTCAAAGGGCTCACAAACGTCCCCTCACAGATTCTACAAAAAGAGTTTTTCCAACCTACTGAAGGAATGGAAAGGATTAACTCTGTGAGATGAACCCATACATCACAAAGCACTTTCACAGATAGATTCTTTCTAGTTTCTACATGGGGATATTCATTTTTTCCTCATATGCCACAATGGGCTCCAAAATGTCCATTTTGGACGTTTCCAACCTGCTGCATCAAAAGAATGGTTTAACACTGCAAGATCAATCCACACATCACAAAGCTGTTTCACACATACCTTCTTTCTAGTTTTTATCTGGGGATAATCGGTTTTTCCCTATAGACCTCAATGGGTTCCCAAAATTCCCTTTGAAGATTTTCCAAAAAAAAAGTGTTTCCAACATGCTGAATCAAAAGAAATGTTTTACTATGTGAGTTGAAACTACACATCACAAAGTAGTTTCATGGATACCTTCTTTCTATTTTTTTTGTTGGGGTATATTCGGTTTTCCCTTATGGGCCACAAAAGGCTTTGAAATGTTTCTTCACAGATTCTACAAAGAGAGTGCTTCAAAGCTTCTAAATCAAAAAAAGGTTTAATTCTGTGAGATGAATACACAAATTACAAAACATTTTCACAAATACATTCTTTCTAGTTTTTATCTGAGGATATAAAACTTTTACTCATAGGCATCAGTGGGCTAGCAAATGTTTATTTGCAGATTCTACAAAAAGTGTTTACAGCCTGCTGGATAAAAGAAAGTTTCAACACTGTGAGATCAATCCACACTTCACAAAGTGGTTTCACAGAAAGCTTGCATCTGTTTTTTTTTTTTTTTCTTTTTTCTGGGGATATTTGGTTTTTCCCCATAGGTCTCAATTGGCTCCAAAATGTCCCATTGCAGATCCTCTAAAAAGTGTTTCCAATCTGCTAAGTCAATAGAAAGGTTTAACCCTCTGATATGGATACACACATCACAAAGCAGTTTCACAAAGATCTTCTTTCTTGTTTTTATGTAGGGATATTTGCTTTTTTAATTTTAAGCCTCGATATGCTCCCAAATGTCCCTTCATGGATTCTACAGTGAGAGTGTTTCCAACTTGCTGAATCAAGAGAAAGGTTTACCTCTGTCAGATGAATGGTCACTTCATAAAATAGTTTCACTAATAGGTTCTTTCTAGTTTATATCTGGGGATATTCATTTTTTTCCCATATGCCTCAATGGGCTCCTAAATGTCCCTTTGCAAATTCTCCAAAAAGAGTGTTTCCAATCTGCTGAATCAAAAGAAAGTTTTAACTCTGTGACATGAATCCAGACTTTGAAACGCAGTTTTCACAGAGAGCATCTTTCCAGTTTTAATCTGGGGATATTAAGTTTGGTCTGATAGGCCTCAATGGGCTCCTAAATGTCCCTTTGCATATTATTTAAAAAGAGTGTTTCCAACCTGCCAAATCAAAAGAAAGGTTCAGCTTTGTGAGATGAATCCAGACATCAAAAAGGAATTTCACAGATAGCTTCTCTCTAGTTTTTATCTGGAGATATTCAGTTTTTCACCACAGGCCTCAGTGGGCTCTCAAATCTCATGAATCAAAAGAAAAAATCTCCTGATCTCCAATCTCCTGAATCAAAGGAAAGGTTTAACTTGCTGTGATGAATCCACACATCCCAAAGCAGTTTCACAAATACCTTCTTTCTTGTTTCTTTCTGACAAAAGTTGGTTTTTTGCCTCAATGGCAAAGGCCTCAATGGGCTCCCAAATGTCTTTTCACAGTTTCTTTAAAAAACGTCTTTCCAGGCTGGGCACAGTGCTCATGCTTGTAATCCCAGCACTTTGGGAAGCTGAGGTGGGCAGATCACAAGGTCAGGAGATTGAGGTCATCCTGGCTAACACTATGAAGCCCCATCTCTACTAAAAATACAAAAAATTAGCTGGGCATAGTGGCGGGCACCTGAGTCCCAGCTACTTGAGAGGCTGAGTCAGGAGAATGGCGTGAACCCAGGAGGCAGAGCTTGCAGTGAGCTGAGATTGTGCCACTGCACTCCAGCCTGTGCAACAGAGTCAGACTCTGCCTCAAAAAAAAAAAAAAAGGCTTTCCAACCTGCTGGATCAAAAGAAAGTTTAAACACTGCGAGGTGAATCTACACAATACAAAGAAGTTTCACTAATTGTCTCTTTCTAGTTTTTGTTTGGATTCATTTGGTTTTTACTTACAGGCCTCAATGAGCCGAATAAAAAGCAAATGTTGACACGTAGAGATGAATCCACACATCACAAAGCAGTTTTACAAATACATTTTTTCTAATTTTTTTCTAGGCATATTCAGCTTTTCCCCACATGCCTCAATGAGCTTCCAATTGTCCCTTGGTAAATCCTCCAAAAAAAGTCTTTCCAACCTGCTTAATCAAAAGAAATGTTTTAGTATGTGAGTTGAATCCACACTTTACAAAGCAGTTTCATAGAAATTTATTTCAAACTTTTTTCTAGGAATATTCAGTTTTTCCCCATATGCCTCAATGGGCTGCTGAATGTCCCTCTGCAGATCCTCCATAAAGAGTGTTTCCAACCTGCTGAATCAAAAGAAAATTTTAACTCTGTGTGTTGAAACCACACATCACAAAGCAGTTTTGCAGATAGCTTCTTTCTAGTTTTCATCAGGGGACATTCAATTTTTTTCCATAGGCCTGAATGGGCTCCCAAATATCTCTTCACAGATTTTCCAAATGGAGTGTTTCCAACTTGCCAAATCAAAAGCAAGGTTTAATTCTGTGAGATGAATCCGCACATCACAAAACAGTTTTACAGATAGCTTCTTTCTAGTTTTTGCCTCGGGTCATTTTGTTTTGCCCCGTAGGCCTCAATTGGCACAAAAATCCCTTCAACAATTCTCCAGAAAGAGTGATTCCAGCCTGCTGAATCAAAAAGGATTAACTCTTTGAGATGAATCCACTATTCACAACGCATATATTCAGTTTTCCACAACGGCTGTAATGGGAACCCAAATATCCCTTCACATATCCTTGAAAAATAGTGTTTCCAATCTCCTCAATCAAAAGAAAGTTACAACTTTGTGAGATGAATCCACACATCACAAATCAGAGTCATAGATATCTTCTTTCTAGTTTTTATTTGGGGATATTCGGTTTTTTCTTCATGGGCCTCAATGGGCTCCAAAATGTACCTTGCAAGTTCTCTAATTAAAGTGTCTCCAACCTGCTTAATCAAAAGAAAGGTTTAACTCTGTGAGATGAATCAACACATCACAAAGTAGTTTCACAGATAGCTTCCTTCTACTTTTCACCTGGGTATATTCTCCTTTTTTCCATAGGCCTCAAAATCTCCAAAATTTCGCTTTGCAGTTTCTATGAAAAGAGTGTTTCCAACCTGCTAATACAAAAGAAGGGTTTAAGTATGTGAGATGAATCCACACATCACAAATCAGATTCATATATAGTAGCTTCTTTCTAGTTATTCTCTGGGGATATTCAGTTTTTCAACACAGGGTTCAAAGGGCTTCCAAATGTCCTTTTGCAGATTCCCCAAAAAGAGTGCTTTCAACCTGCTGGATCAAATGAAATGTTTAATTCTGTGAGATGAATACACAAATCACAAAGAAGTTTCACAGATAGCTTCTTTCTAGTTTTTATCTGTGGATATTCAGTTTTTATTTATAAGCCTCAATCTTCTCCCAAATGTCCACTCACAGATTCTACAAAAAGAATGTTTCCAACCTGCTGAATCAAAAGAAAGGCTTAACCCTGTGACATGATCCATACATCACAATGAAGTTTCACTAGTAACCTCTTTCTTGTTTTTATCTGGGTATATTTGATTTTTTCCCATTGGCCTAAATGGCTCCCAAATGTCCCTTCACAGATCCTCCAAAAAGTGTTTCCAACCTGCTTAATCAAAGAAAGATTTAACTATGCTATATGAATCCAGATATCACAAGGTGGATTCAAATATAGCTTCTTTCTTGTATTTATCTGGAGATGTTCGGTTTAGCCCCATAGGCCTCAATGGGTTCATAAATGTCCCTTTGCAGATTGTCCAAAAAGGGTTTTTCCAACTTATTGTTTCAATGGAAAGGTTTAAAACTGTGAGATGAATCCACACGTCAGAAAGAATTTTCACAGATTTCTTGTTTCTAGTTTTTTCTGTAGGGATATTTGGTTTTTCCCCAAAGACATCAATGGGCTCCAAAACCTCCCTTCGAAGATTCTCCAAAAAGAGTGCTCCCCACTAGCTGAATCAAAGGAAAGGTTTAACTCTGTGAAATGAATCCACACATCACAAAGCAGTTGCACAGATAGCTATATATTTGTCTTTTTCTTGGGATATTCAGTTTTTCCCTGCAGGTTATAATGGGTACCAAATGTCCCTTCACAAATTCTCAAAAAAGAATGTTTCCAACCTGTTGAAACAAAAAGAAGATAGTTTCTTTCTAGTTTCTACTTGGGAATATTCATTTTTTTCCGTAGGCCTCAAAGTTCCTGCAATTGTCCCCTCACAACTCTCCAAAAAGAATTTCCAACCTGCTGAGTCAAAACAAAAATTTAACTCTGTGAGATGAATCCACACTTTACAAAGCAGTTTGACAAATAGGTTCTTTCTAGTTTTTATGTGGGGATTTTTTGTTTCTCCTTATAGACCTCAATGGCCTCCCAAATGTCTCTTCACAGATTCTCCAAAAAGGGTGTTTTCAACCTTCTGAATAAAAAGGAAGGTTTAACTCTGTGAGATGAATCCAGACATCACAAAGCAGTTTCACAAATAGCTTCTTTCTAGTTTCTATCTGGAGATATTCCTTTTTATTTCCATAGGCCTCAATGGTCCTGCAAAATTCCCCTCACAGATTCACCAAAAAAACTGTTTCCAACCTGCTGAATCAGAATAAAAGTTCAAATCTGTGAGATGAATCCACACATCACAAAGCAGTTTCACCAATAACTTCTTTCTAGTTTATCTGGAGATATTCATTTTGTATCCATAGGCCTCAATAGGCTCCCAAATTTCATTTCACAGATTCTGAAATTAGAGTGTTTCCACCTACTGAATCAAAAGAAAAGTTTACCTCTGTGAGAAGAATCCACACATCACAAAGCGATTTCACAGATAGCTTCTTTCTTGTTTTATCTAGAAATATTGTTTTCTCCCATAGGGCTCAATGGGCTCCCAAATGTTTCTTTGCAGATTCTCCAAAAAAGGTGTTTCCATGCTGCTGAATCAAAATAAATGTTTAACTCTGTGAGATAAATCTGCATATCACAAAGCAGTTTCAGAGATAGCTTCTTTCTAGTTTTTATCTGGGGATATTTTGTTTTCCCCAGGCCTCAATGAGCTAAAAAATGTCCCTTCACAGATTCTTTAGAGGGAATGTTTCCAACCTGCTGAATCAAAAGAAATTTTTAACTCTGTGAGATGAATCCACACATTACAAAGCGGTTTCACAGATAGCTTCAATCTAATTTTTATCTGGGGATATTCAGTTTTCCCCCATAGGCCTTAATGGGCTCCAAAATGACCATTCACAGATTCTCTTAGAAGACGTTTCCAACCTGCTGAATCAAAAGAAAAGTTTAGCTGAGTGAGATGAAGCCACACACCCAAAACAGTTTCACAGATAGTTTCTTTTTAGTTTTTATCTGGGGATATTTGTTGTTTCCCCAGGGGCCTCAATGGGCTCCCAGATGTCCCTTTGCTGTTTCTCCAAAAAGAGTGTTTCCAACCTGCTGAATCAAATGTAAGGTTGAACTCTGTGAGCAAAATCCGTATATCACAAAACAGTTTCACAGATTACTTCTTTCTAGTTTTTATGTGGGATATTCTTTTTCCCCCCATAGGCATCAATATTCTCCCAAATGTCCGTTCGTGGATTCTCTAAAAGCAGTTTTTCCATCCACCAAAACAAAAATTTAACTCTATGAGATGACTCCACACATAGCAAAGCCGTTTCAGAGCTATCTTCTTTCCAGTTTTTCTCTGGGGATATTCCACTATAACCCATAGGCCCAAAGGGCTATCAAATATCCCTTCACAGATTCTTCAGAAATGTTTTTCCTAACTGCTGGATGAAACGAAAAGTTTAACTCTGTCAGATGAATCCAGAAAATACAAGGGCGTTTCACAGACAGCTTCTTTCTTGTTTTTATCAGGCAATACTCAGTTTTTGCACCTAAGCCTCAGTGGATTGCCAAATGTCCCTTCGCAGATTCTATAAAAAAAGCAATTCCAACCTTCTGACTCAAAAGAAAAGTTTAACTCTGAGATGAACCCACACATCACAAAGCAGTTCCACAGGTAGTCTCTTCTAGTTTTTATCTGGGGATATTCTCTTTTTCCCCACTGGCCCCAAAGTGCTCCTAAATGTTTCTTCACAGTTTCAATAGTTAGAGTTTTTCCAACCTGCTGAATCATAAGATAGTTTTAACTCTGTGATATTAATCCACACATCACAAAGCAGTTTCACAGATAGGTTCTTTCTAGTTTTTATCTGGCGATATTTTGTTTTCCCCATCAGCCTCAGTGGGATTTTGAATGTCCCTTCACAGATTCTCCAAGGAGATTTTCCATTCTGCTGAATCAAAAGAAATATTTAATCTGTGAGAGTAACCCACACATCACAAAGCAGTTTCAAAGATAGCTTCTTTCTAGTTTTTATCATGGGATAATCGGCTTTTCCCCATATGCCTCAGTGGGTTCCAAAATGCCTCTTTGCAGATTCTCTTAAAAGAGTTTTTCCAAACTGCTTGATCAAAAGAATGGTTTAATTCTGTGAGATGAATCCACACATCACAAAGAAGTTTACAATAGCTTATTTTGAGTTTTTATCTGAAGATATTCATCTTTTCTTCATAGACCTCAAAGGGCTCCCAAATGTCCAATCACAGGTTGTGCAAAGAGAGTGTTTCCAATCTGCTCAATCAAAAAAAGTCTTAACTCTGTGAGATGAATTCACAATCACAAAGCAGTTTTACAGAGAGCTTCTTTCTATGTTTTACCTGAGGATAATTTGTCTTTCCATGTAAGCATCAATGGTCTTCCAAATGTTTATTTGCAGATTCTCCAGAAAGAGTGTGTCCAACTTGCAGAATCAAAAGAAACTTTTATGTATGTGAGATAAATCCACACATCACAAAGCAGTTTCACAGAAAGCTTGTTTCTAGTTTTTACCTTGTGATATTTTGTTTTCCCCATAGGCCTTAATGCACTCTCAAATATCCCCTCTCAGATTCTCCAAATACAGAAGAGTTTCCAACATGTGGAATCAAAACAAAGTTTTAATCTGTGAGATGAGTTCACACATCACAGAACAGTTTCACAGTTATCTTCTCTCTAGTTTTTATCTGGAGATATTCAGTTTTTCTTCCTAGGCCTCCATAGGTTCCTAAATGTCCCTTCACAGATTCTCAAAAAAGTGTTTTCAAATTGCTGAAAGAAAAGAAAGGTTTAACTCTGTGAGATAAATCCACACATCACAAAGCATTTTCATCAATAGGCCTCATTGGTCTCCTAAATATCCCTTCACTGATTCTACAAAAAGAGTATTCCCAAATTGCTGAATCAAATAAAAGGTTTAATTCTGCGAGATGAATCCACACATAACAAACCAGTTTCACAGATAGATTATTTCTAGTTTTTATCTGGGCATATTCTGTTCTTCCCCTTAGGCTTTAAAGGGCTCCCAAATGTCTCTTCATGGATATTTCAGAGTGTTTCCAACCTGCTGAATCAAAAGAAATGTTTAACTCTTTGAGAAATTCCACAAGTCACAAAGCAGTTTCACAGATAACTTCTTTCTACTTTTTGTCAGGATATTCAACTTTTCCCCATAGGCAACATTCAGATAACAAAAGTCCTTTTGAGGAATTTCCAAAACAAGTGTTTCCAACCTGTGTATCAAAAGAAAGGTTTAACTTTGTCAGATGAATCCAACCAACACAAAGCAATTTCACAGATAGATAGCTTCTTTCTACTTTTTTTTCTGGTAATATTCAGTTTTCCCCCATAGACATCAAAGGGCTCCAAAATGTTCCCTCACAGATTCTCCAAAAAGAGTGTTTCCAAGCTGCTGAATCAAAAGAAAGGTATAATTGTGTGAGATGAATCCACACTTCATGAAGCAGTTTCAAAGATAGCTACTTTCTAGTTTTTATCTGGAAATATTTGTTTTTTTGACATAGGCTTCCATGGGCTCCCAAATGTCCCTTTGCATACTTACAGAAAAAGTCTTTCCAACCTGCTGAATCAAAAGAAAGGTTTACCTCTGTGATATGAATTCACATATCAAAAAGCAGTTTCTGGTTTTTAACTGAGGATATTCTGTTTTTCCCCATAGGCGATGGGCTCCCCAATGTCCCTTTGGAGATATTCCAAATAGAGTTTTTCCAACCTGCTGTATCGAAAGAAAGTTTTACTCTGTGAGATGAATCCACACATCACAAGGCAGTTTCACAGATATCTTCTTTCTAGTATTTGTCAAGGGATATTTAGTTTCTTTCCTATAGGTATCAATAGGCTCCCAAATATCCCCTCACAGATTCTTTACAAAAAGTGTTTCCAACCTGCTGAATCAAAAGAATGGTTTAAATCTGTGAAAGGAATCCATACATCACAGAGCAGCTTTACAAATATCTTCTTTTGAGTTTTTATCTGAGGATATTCGGCCTTTTTTCATAGGCCTCAAAGGAATCCCAAGTATCCCTTAGCAGTTTCTCCAGAAAGAATGTTTCCAACCTGCTGAATCAAAAGAAAGATTTAGCCCTGTGAGATGAATTTACACATCACAAAGTCGTTTCACAGGTAGCTTCTTTCTTGTTATCAGAAATATTCAGGTTTTCACCTTAGGCCTCAGTGGGTTCCCAAATGTTCATTCAAAGATTCTACAAAAAAGTGTTTTCAACCTGCTGAATCAAAGGAAAGATTACCTCTGTGAGATCAATTCACACATCAAAAATCAGTTTCACAGATAGCTTCTTTCTAGTTTTTATGTAGGGAGAGTCTGTTTTTTCCATTAGGCCTTAATGGGTTACTTAATATTTCTTCAGAGATTCTCCAAAACATGGTTTCCACTTCGCTGAATCAAGAGAAAAGTGTGACTCTGTGAGATGAATCCACACATCACAAATCAGTTTCACAAATAACTTCTTTCTACTTTTTATCTAGGGATTTTTTTTCCATAGGCCTCAAAGTACTCTAAAATGTCTCTTTGCAGACTTTATAAAAAGACTGTTTCCATCCTGCTGAATCAACAGGAAGGTTTAACTCCGTGAGATCAAGCCACACATCACAAAGCAATTGTACCGACTGCTTTTTTCTAGTTGTTTTTTGAGGATATTTGGTTTTTCCCCATGAGCCTCAATGGGCTCCCAAATGTCCCTTCACAGTTCCTCCTGAAAGCGTGTCCACAAATTGCTGAATCAAACGAAGGTTTAAATTTGTGAGTTTAACCTACACATCACAAATCAGTTTCATGGATAGCTTCTTTCTAGTTTTTATCTAGGGATATTTAGTTTTTCACCTTAGGCATTAATGGGCTCCCCAATGTCCCTTCGGATATTCTTCAAATGGAGTGTTTCCAAACTGCTGCTTTAAGAGAAAGGTTTAACTCTGTGAGATGAATACACAATTCACAAAGCAGTTTCACAAATAGTTTCTAGTTTTTATTGAAGGATATTCTATTATTCCTCATAGGCCTCAATGGGATCTCAAATATCCCTTCTCACATTCTCCAAAAAGAGTGTTTGAAACCTGCTTAATCACAAGAATGCTTTATCTCTGTGAGATGAATATGCACATCTCAAACCTGTTTCACAGAACACTTCCTTCGAGTTTTTATCTGGGGATATTTTTCTTTTCTTCATAGGCCTCAATGGACTCTCAAAAGTCCCTTCACAGATTCTCCAGAAACAGTGTTTCCAATCTGCTGAATCAAAAGAAAGGTTTAACTCTGTGAGATGAATTCATGAATTCACACATAAGAAACCAGTTTCACAGATAGATAGCTTCTTTCTATTACTTATCTGTTGATATTCTGTTTTTACCCACTGGACACAAATGGCTCCCAAATGTCTCTTCACATATTATTCTCCAAAAAGCGTGTTTCCAACTTTCTCAGTCAAAAGAAAGGTTTAACACTGTGAGATGAATACAACCAACACAAGGAGTTTCACAGATAACTACTTACTAGTTTTTATCTGGGGATATTCAGGTTTTTCCTGTAGGCCTCAATAGCCTCCCAAATTTATTTTTTGCAGATTATATAAAAAGAGCATTTCCAACTTGATTGATAAAAAGAAAGTTTTACCTTTCTGAGATGAATCCACACTTCACAAAGTAGTTTCACAGATAGCTTCTTTCTACTTTTTATCTGGGGGTATTTGTTATTTCCCCATAGGTCTCAATGGGCTCCAAAATGTTTCTTTGATGATTCTAATTAGAGCATTTCCAACCTGTTGAACCACATGAAAGTTTTAATTTAGTGAGTTGAATACACATGTCACAAAGCAGTTTCACAAATAGCTTCTTTCTAGTTTTTATTGAGGGATATTCTGGTTTTCCCCTAGGCCTCAATGGGATCCAAATTGCCCCTTTGCAGATTCTCCAAAAAGAGTGTTTATAAGCTGCTGTATCAAAAGGGATGTTTAACTCTGTGACATGAATCCACACAACACAAAGCAGTTTCACTAATACTTACTTTCTAGTTTTTACCTGAGACTATTTGGTTTTTACACATAGGCCTCAATAAGCTCTGAAATGTGCCTTTGCAGATTCTCCAAAAAGAGTCTTTCCAATCTGCTGGATGAAGAGAGGGGTTTAACTGCATAAGTTGAATCCACACTTCACAAAGTAGTTTCACACATAGTTTCTTTCTAGTTTTTATATGGGGAAATTCTCTTTTTTCCCATAGGACTCAGTGGGCTCATAAATGTCCCTTTACACCTTCAAAACATTAGAGTGTTTCCAACCTGCTGAATCAAAAGGAATGTTTAACTCTGAGATGAATCCACACATCACAAAACAGTTTCTCAGATAGTTTCTTTCTATTTTTAATCTGAGGATATTCTGTCTGTTTTTCCTCATACACCCCAATGGGCTCCCAAATGTCCATTCGAAGATTCTCCAAAAAAGGTCTTTCCAACCTGCTGAATCAAAAGAAAAGTTTCAGTCTGTGAGATGAATCCACACATCACAAAGCAGTATCACAGATGACTTCTTTCTAGTTTCTATATGGTGATATTCTGTTTTTCCACATAGACCTCAATTGGCCTCCCAAATGTCCCTTCACTGACTCTCCAAAAAGAGTGTTTTTAACCTGCTGAAACAAACGAATAGTTTAACACCGTGCAATGAATTCACACACCACAAATCAGTTTCACCAATAGATTCTTTCTAGTTTTTATCTGGGGATATTCACTTTTTCCCTTTAGGCCTGAATAGGCTCACAAATTTACATTTGCAAGTTCTCCAAAAAGAGGGTTTTTAGCCCTGTGAATAAAAAGAAAATTTTAACTCTGTAGAAAAACCCACACATCACAAAGCAGTTTCACAGATAGTTTCTTTCTAGTTTTTATCTGTGGCTATTATGTTTTCCCCTATTGGCCTTAAAGGGTTTCGAAATGTTCCTTCACAATTTCTCTGAAAAGAATGTATCCAAACTGCTGAATCAAAAGAGATGTTTAACTCTGTGAGATGAATTCTCACATCACAAAACAGTTTCAAAGATAGCTTCTTTCTAGTTTTTATCTGGTAATATTCAGTTTTGCCCAATAGGCTTCAATGAGCTCCCAAATGTCCCTTCACAGTTTCTATAAAAAGAGTTTTTCCAATATGTTAAATCAAAGGAAAAGTTTAACCCAGTGAGCTGAATCCACATATCACCGAGCAGTGCAAAGATAGCTTCTCTCTTGTTTTTGTCTGGGGATATTCAGTTTTTCTCCATTAGGTTCAATGTTCTCCAAAATGACCCTTCGCAGATTCTACAAAATAGTGTTTCCAACTTGCTGAATAAATATAAAGGTTTTACTCTTCGAGAAGAACCCACAAATCTCAAAGCAATTTCACAGATAGTTTCTTTCTTGTTTTTATCTGGGGATATTGCGTTTTTCCCCATAGTCTTCAATTTGGTCCCAAAAGTCCTATCGCAGATTCTCCAAAAAGAGTATTTCTATTGCTGAATCAAAAGAGTGGTTTAACTCTGCTAGACGAACCCACACACTACAAGGCAGTTTCATAGACAGCTTCTTTCATGTTTTTTTTCTGGAGATATTTTGTTTTAACCTACAGGCCTCAGTGCACTCCCAAATGTCCCTTCACAGATTTGCCAAAACAGTGTTTCCAACATGTTGAATCAAAAGAAAGTTTTAAATCTGTGAGATGAATGCACACATCACAAAGCAGTTTCACAGATAGCTTCTTTCTAGTTTTTATCTGGGGATATTTGGTTTTTCACCATAGGCCTCAAGGGGATCCCAAATGTCCCTTCACAGATTCTCCAAAAAGTGTTTCCAACCCACTGAATCTGCAATAACAAAGCAGTTTCTCAGATGGCTTCCTTCCAGTTTTTGTTCTGGTGATATTCAGTTTTTCCCATAGGCCTCAATCTACTTACAAATGTTATTTCAAAGATTCTACAAAAAGAGTGTTTCCAACCTGATTAATCAAAAGAAAGGTTTAAGTCTCTGAGATGAATCCACACACCACAAAGCAGTTTCACAGATAGCTTCTTTCTAGTTTTCATCTGGGGATATTCTGTTTTTCCCCATAGGCATCAGTGGGCTCCCAAATGTTCCTTCACAGATACTCCAAAAAGAGTGATTCTAACCTGCTGAATCAAAGAACGTTTAAGTCTGTAAGATGAATCCACACTTCACAAAGCAGTTTCACACTTAGCTTCTTTCTAGTTTTCATCCGTGGATATTCCACTTTTCCCCACCAGCATCAATTTGTTCCCAGATGTTTCTATACAGATTGTAAAAAAAAAGAAAAAGGAAAGAGTCCCCAACATGCTTAATCAAAAGACAGGTTTAACTCTGTGAGATGAATCCACATATCACAAAGCCAATTCATATATAGCTTCTTTGTAGTTTTTATAAGGGGACATTAGCTTTTTCCCCGTAGGCCTCAAGGGAAGATGCTAGAAAAAATGTGATTCCAACCTGTTGAATAAAAAGGCAGGTTTACCTCTGTGAGGTAAATCCACACATCACAAAGCAGTTTCACAGATAGCTTCTTTCAGTTTTTATCTGTGGATATTTGGTTTTTCTCCATTGGCCTCAATCAGTTCACAAACGTCACTTAGCAGATTCTCCAAAAACAGTGTTTCCAATTTGAAAGAGTGTTTCCAATTTGCTGAATCAAAAGAAATGTTTAACTCTTTTAGATGTATCTGCACACCAAACACAACAAAGCAGCTTTGCAGAGAGATTCTTTCAAATTTTTATCTGGGAATATTCGATTTTTCCACATAGGTCTCAATGGACTCAATAATGTTCCTTCAAAGATTCTACAAAAAGACTGTTTGCAACTTGCTGAATCAAAAAAAAAGGTTTACCTCTGTGAGATGAATCCACACATCACAAAGCAGTTTCACAGATATCTCACTTTTAGTTTTTATCTGCAGATATTTGGTTTTCCTCCTTAGGCCTCAAAGTGCTCCAAAATGTCCCTTTGCAGATTATACAAAAAGAGTGGTACAAGTCTGCTGATTCAAAAGGAAGTTTTAATTCTGTGAGGTGAATCTACACCTCACATCAGCTTCACAGATAGCTTCTTTCTAGTTTCTGTCTGGGGATACTTTGTTTTTCCATATAGGCCTCAATCATCTCCCAAATGGCATTTCTCCGATTCTCCAAAAAGAGTGTTTTTTATCTATGGAATCAAAAGAATGTTTTAACTCGTTGACATAAATCCAGACATCACAAAGCAGTTTCACAGATAGCTTCTTTCCAGTTTTTATCTGGGCATATTGTGTTTTTTTTTTCCATAGGTCTGAATGGGCTCCCCTAATCCCTTCAATGATTATCTAGAAAGAATGTTTACAACCTGTTGAATCAAAAGAAACATTTATCTCCTTGAGATGAATCCACACATCACAAAGCAGTTTCACAAATAACTTATTTATAATTCTTTTCTAGAATAATCTGTTTTTCTCCACAGGCCTAAATGAGCTCTCAAATGTCCCCTCACAAATCCTCCAAAAAAAGTGTTTCCAACTTGCTGAATCAAAAGGAATGTTTTACTATGTGAGATGAATCCACACATCACAGAGTAGTTTCACAGAAGTGTTCTTTCAATTTTTTTTCCTAGGAATATTCAGTTTTTCTCCACAGGCCTCAATGGGCTCCCAAATTACCCATTGCAGATCCTCCAAAAAGAGTGTTTCCAACCTGCTGAATCATAAGAAAGGTATAACTCTATGAGATGAATCCACACACCACAAAGCAGTTTCACAGATAGCTTCTTTCTTGTTTTTATCTGGGGATCTTCAGTTTTTACCCATATGTCCCAACGAACTTCAAATATCCCTTCACAGATTCTCCAAAAAGAGTCTTTCCCACCTGCTTAATCAAAAGAAAGTTTTAACTGTGTGAGATGAATCCACACCTACATAAAACAGTTTCAAAGATAGCTTCCTTGTAGTTTTCATCTGGGGATATTTTGTGTTTTTTTCCCATAGGCCTGAATGGGCTCCCAAAAGTCCCATTACAGATTCTCCAAAAAGAGTGTTTCCAACCTGCTGAATCAAAGGAAAGTTTAAGCTCTGTGAGGTGAATCCACATATCACAAAACAGTTTCACAGATAGGTTCTTTCTAATTTTCTTCTGGGGATATTTGGTTTTTCCCCAAAGACCTAAATGGGCTGTTAAATGTCCCTTCACAGTTTCAGCAAAAATAGTGTTCCCAAGCTGCTTAATCAAAAGAATAGTTTATCTCTGTGAGATGAATCCACACATCCCATCAGTTTCACACATAACTTCTTTCAAGTTTCTATCTTAGGATATTCAGTTTTTCCCCACAGGCCTCAAAGGGCTCCCAAATGTTCCTTTGTAGATGCTCTTAAAAAGAGTGTTTTCAACCTGCTGAATCAAATGAAAGGTTTAACTCTGTGATATGAATCCACCTATCACAAAACAGTTTCACAGAAATCTTCTTTCTAGCTTTTTTTTGAGATAGAGTCTTGCTCTGTCACCCAGGCTGGAGTGCAGTGGCACAATCTTGGCTCACTTCAAGCTCCACCTCCCAGGTTCACACCATTCTCCTGCCTCAGCTTCCCAAGTAGCTGGGACTACAGACACCCGCCACCAAGCCTGCCTAATTTTTTGTATTTTTAGTACAGACGGGATTTCACCATGTTAGCCAAGATGGTCTCGATCTCCTGACCTCGTGATCCACCGCCTTGGCATCCCAAAGTGCTGGGATTACAGGTGTGAGCCACCGCGCCTGACCTCTTTCTAGTTTTTTCTAGGGATATTCATTTTTTTCATATTCTACAAAGCAATAACATATGTCCTTTCACAGATTCTCCAAAAGGTGTTTCCAACCTGCTGAATCAAAAGAATCATTAAACTCTCTGTGATGAATCCACACATCACAAAGAAGTTTCACAAATAACTTCTTTTGAGCTTTTTTCTGGGTATACTCAGTTTTTTTCCCTTAGGAATAAATGGGATCCAAAATATCCCTTCACAGATACTCCAAGAAGATTGTTTCCAAACTGCTAAATCAAAAGAATGGTTTAATCCTTTGAGATGAATTGACACGTCATGAAGCAGTTTCACCAATAGCTTATTTCTAGTATTTTTCTATTAATAGTTTTTTTTCCATAGGCCACAAGGGGCTCCCAAATATCCCTTCACAAATTCTCCAAAAAGTGTTTCCAGCATCCTGAATCAAAAGAATAGTTTAGCTCTCTGAGATGATTCCACACATCACAAACCAATTTCACAGATAGCTTATTTCAAGTGTTTTTCTGGGGATACTAATTTTTTTCCCTTAGGAATCAGTGGGATCCAAAATATCCATTAGCAGATTCTCAGAGAAGATTGTTTCCAACCTTATGAACCCCAAAAACGTTTTAACTGTGTGAGATGAATCCACCCATCACACATCAGCATCATAGATAGCTTTCTTCTATTTTTTATCTCAGGATATTCAGTGTGTTTCAACAGGTCTCAGTGGGCTCCCAAATGTCCCTTCACAGATTCCTAAAAAAAGAGTGTTTCCAAACTGCTGAATCAAAATAAAATTTAACCCTGTGCGATGAATCCACACATCTGAAAGCAGTCTCACAGGTAGCTTCTTTATAGTTTTTGTCTCAGGATATTCAGTTTTTCCCCACAGACCTCAGTGGGTTCCCAAATGTTCCTTTGCAGACGTTCCAAAAAGAATATTTCCAACCTGCTAAATCAAAAGAAACATTTACTTCTGAGAGATGAATCCAAACATCACAAAGCAGTTTCACGGATAACTTCTTTCTAGTTTTTATCTGGGAATACTCAGTTTTTTTCCATAGGCCTCAATGGGTTTCAAATGTCCCTTCGTAGATTCTCCAAAGAATGTTTCAAGACTGCTGAATCTACAGAAAGTTTTAACACTGTGAGATGAATCCTCACATCACAAAGCAGTTTCACAGTTAGCTTCCTTCTAGGTTTTACCTCTGGATATTCAGTGTTTCCCCACAGGCCTCAGTGGGCTCCCAAATGTTTCTTCACAGATTCTCCAAAAAGAGTATTTCCAAACCTGCTGAATCAAAAGAATAGTTTAACTCTGTGAGGTGAGTCTACACATTACAAAGCAGTTTCACAGGTTGCTTCTTATATAGTTTTTATCTGGGGATATTTTGTTTTTCCCTGCAAGTGTCAATCTGCTCCAAAATGTCCCTTCACAGAATCTCCCAATGAAATGTTTCCAACCTGTTGAATCAAAATAAAGGTTTAACTCTGTGAAAGGCATCCACACATCGCAAAGCAGTTCCACAGAAAACTTCTTTCTAGTTTTCATCTGGCAATATTCACTTTTCCCACAGGCCTCAATGGGGTAAAAAATGTCCTTTCACAGATTCTCCAAAAGGAATGTTTCAAACCTCCTGTATCACTCGAAAGTTTTAGTCCTGTGAAATGAATTCACACTTCACAAGGCAGTTTCACAGATACCTTCTTACTAGTTTTTGTCTGGGTATATTCTGTTTTTCCCCATAGGCCTCAATGGGCTCCCAAAAGACCCTTCACAGATTCTCCAAAAAGACGTTTCCAACCTGCTGAATCAAAAGAAAGGTTTATCTCTGTAAGATGAATCCACACATCCGCAGCAGTTTAACAGATAGCTTCTTTCTAGTTTTGATGTGGGGATTTTCCATGTTTCCTCAGAGGCCTCAATAGGCTTCTAAAATTCCCCTTGCAGTTTCTCCAAAAAGAGTGTTTCCAACCTACACAATTGAAAGAATAGTTTAATGCTATGATATGAATTTAAACATCAAAAATCAGTTACTCAGATAATGTCTTTCTAGTTTTTATCTGGCTATATTCTGTTTTTCCCCATGGGCCTCATAGGGATCCCAAAAGTCCCTTTGCAGATTGCTGAAAAAGAGTGTTTCCAACATCCTGAATCAAAAGACAGGTTTCACTCTGAGCTGAATCCACACATCAAAAAGCAGCTTTGCAGATAGATTCTTTCAAATTTTTATCTGGGGATATTTTGTTTCCCCATAGGCCTCAGTGGGCTCTCACATGTCCCTTCACAGATTCTCCAAAAAAAAGTTCTTTCAACCAGCTGAATCAAAAAAAATGTTTAACCCTGTGAAATGAATCCAGACATCACAAAACTGTTTCACATACAGCTTCTTTCTAGTTTTTATCTGGGGATCTTTTGTTCTTCCCAATAGGGCTCAGTGGGCTCCGAAATGTTCCCTTGCAGGTTTTCCAAGAACAGTGCTTACATCCTGCTGAATCAAAAGCTTGGTGTAAATTTATGAGATGAATTCACAAAACACAAAGCAGTTTCACAGAGAGCTTCTGTCTAGTTTTTTTTATCAAGGGATATTTGGTTTTCTCCGTAGGACTCAATGGGTTCGCAAATGTCCCTTTGAAGATTCTCCAAAAAGAGTGTCTCCAACTGCTAAATCAAGAGAAAATTTTACCTTTGTAAGATGAATGCTCACATCACAAAGCAGTTTCACTGATAGCTTCTTTCTAGTTTTCATCTGGGAATATTTTTTTCCCCTTAGGAAAAAAAATAGGCCTCTATGAGTTCCAAACTGTCCCTTCATAGAGTATACCAAAAGACAGTTTCTAACCTGCTACAAGAGAAAAGTTTAACTCTGTTTGATGAATCCACACATCACAAAGCAGTTTCACACATACCTTCTTTCTAGTTTTTATTTGGGTGTATATCTGCTGATATTCAGTTTTTCCCCACAGACCTCAATGGACTCCCAAAATTTCCCTCCACAGATTCTCCAAAAAGAATGTTTCCAACCTGCTTAATCAAAAGGAAAGTTTAATCGTGAAATGAATCCACACATCACAAAGCAGTTTCACAGATACCTTCTTTCAAGTTTTTATCTGGAGATTTTTGGTTTTGCCCCATAGGCCTCAATGGGCCAATAAAACCTCTGCAATGATTCTCTAGGAAGAGTGTTTCTAACCTGCTGAATCAAAAGAAACTTTAACTCTTTGAGATAAATCGATATATCACCAAGCAGTTTCACAAATGGCTTCTTTCTAATTTTTTTCTAGATATATTCGTTTTTTCCCCATAGGCCTCAATGAGCTCCCAGATGTCCCTTCGCAAATTGTACAAAAAAAAGTGTTTTCAACCTGCTGAATCAAAAGAAATCTTTTCCTATGTGAGATGAATTAACACATCACAAATCAGTTCCACAGCAAATAATTTTCAAATTTTGTTTCTAGGAATATTCGGTTTTTCCCTATAGACCTCAATGGGTTCCCAAATGTCCCATCACAAATCCTCCAATAGTAGTGTTTTCAACCTGCTGAATCAAAAGAAAGGTTCAACGCTGTGAGATGAATCTACACATCACAAAGCAGTTTCACACAAAGCTTCTTTCTAGATTTAATCTGGGGATATTTTATTTTCCCCCATAGGCCTCAATGTGCTCCAAAAAGTCCCTTCACAGATCCACCAAAAAGAGTGCTTCCAACATACGGAGTTCAAAGAAAGATTTAAGTCAGTGAGATGAATCCACACACCACAAAGCCATTAACAGATAGCTTCTTTCTTGTTTTTATCTGGGGATGTTCAGTTTTTCCTTCTATGCCACATTGAGATTCAAATATCCCTTCACAGATTCTCCAGAAAGAGTGCTTCAAACTGGCTGCATCTAAAGAAATGTTTAAATCTGTGTGATGAATCCACACATCACAAAGCAGTTTCACAGATAGCTTCTTTCTACTTTTTATCTGGGATATTCTGTTGTTCCCCAGAGACCTCAATGGGCTCCTAAATGTTTCTTTGCAGATTCTCTAAAAACAGTATTTCCAACCTGCTGACTCAAAAGAAAGGTTTAACACTGTGAAATGAATCCACACATCACAAAGCAGTTTCACAGATAGTTTCTTTGTAGTTTTTATTTAGGGATATTTAGTTTAACAAAATAGCATCAATGGGCTTCAAAATGGCCCTTCGCAGATCCTCCAAAAGGAGTGTTTCCAACCTTCTGAGTCAAAAGAAAGTTTTAACCCTGGGAGGTGAATCCACACCTCACAAAGCAGTTTCAAGAATAGATTTTTCTTATTTTTATCTGGGGATATTACATTTTTTCCATAAGCCTAAATGGGCTCCCAAACGTCCCTTTGCAGATTCTCCAAAAAAGTTTTTTAACTGGCTGAATTTAAAGTAAGGTTTAACTCTGTGAGATGATCCACATATCACAAGGCAGTTTCACAGACAGCTTCTTTCTACTTTTGTCTGGGGATATTTTTTTTTCTCCACAGACATCAATGGACTTCCAAATGTCCATTTCCAGATCCTCCAAGAAGAATGTTTCCAACGTGGTGATTCAAAAGAAAAGTTTAATTTTTTGAGATGAAGCTACACATCACAAAGCAGTTTCACAGATAGCTTCTTTCTAGATTTATGTGGGAATATTCAGTTTTTCTCCATAGGCCTCAATAGGCTCCCAAATGTCCCTTTGAAGATTCTCCAAAAAGAGTGTTTAAATCCTCCTGAATAAAAATAAAGGTTTAACTCTGTGAGAGGGTTCCAAACATCACAAAGCGTTTCACAGATATCTTCTTTCTAGTTTCTGTCTGGGAATATTTGGTTTTTCCCCATAGGCCTCAATGGGCTCCCAAAAGTCCCTTTGCAGATATTCCAAACAGAGTGTTTCCAACCTGCAAAATCAAGAGAAAGTTGTAACTCTGTAATATGAATTCACACATCACAAAGCAATTTCTCAGATAGCTTCTTTCTAGTTTTTATCTGGGTATAATAGGTTTTTCTCAGTAGGCCTCAAAGGGCTACCAAATACTCCTTTGCAGGTTCCACAAAGAGTGTTTCTACCTACTGAGTCAAATTAACACTGTGAGATGACTCCACGCATCACAAGGCAGTTTCACAAATAGCTTCTTTCTGGTTTTTATTTGGAAATATTGAGTTTTTCCCCATAGGCCTAAAAAGGCTCCCACATTTCCCTTCGCTGATTCTCCAATAAGAGTGTTACCAACCTGATAGATCAAAAGAAAAGTTTAACTCTGTGACATGAATCCACAAAACAGAAAGCAGTTTTACAGATAGATTGCTTCTTGTTTTTACTTGGGGATATACTTTTTAAATATAGGCCTCAATGGACTCCTATAAGTCCATTAGCAAATTCTACAAAAAGAGTGTTTCCAACCTGATGCATCCAACAAAATGTTTAACTCTGTGACATGAATCCACACATAACAAAGCATTTTCACAGATAGCTACCTTCTAGTTTTTATCTTGGGATATTCGGTGTTTTTCCAAGGGCTTATTGGGCTCTCAAATGTTCTTTTGCAGATTCTCTAAATAGAGTGTTTCCAACCTGCTGAATCAAAAGAAAACTTGAACTCTCTGCAGTGCTTCCACACATCCCAAAGCAGTTTCACAGGAAACTTCTTTCTAGTTTTTGTCTGGGTATAGTTTGTTTTTCCCCACAGGCCTCAGTGGGCTCCCAAATATCTCCTTGCAGATACTCCAAAAAGACTGTCTCCAACGTGCTGAATCAAAAGAAACGTTTGCTGCTTAGAGATGAATCCAAACATCACAAAACAGTTTCACAGATAGCTTCCTTCTAGTTTTTATCTGTGGATATTTGGTGTTTCCCCACAGGACTCAGTGGGCTCCCAAATGTCCCTTTGAGAATTCTCCAACAAGAGTGTTTCCAACCTCTTGAATAAAAAAAAAAATGTTTAACTGTGAGATGAAGCCACGCATTGTAAAACAATTTCACAGATATCTTCTTTCCAGTTTTTATCTGGGAAATTCGGTTTTTCCCTGTAGGCCTCAATGGTCTCCAAAATGTCCTTTCACAGATCTTCCAAAAAGAGTGCTTCCAACATGCTGAAGAAAAATAAAGGTTTTACTCTTTAACATGAATTCACACATCACAAAGTAGTTTCACTGGTAACTTCTCTCTAGTTGTTATCTACTGATATTCAGTTTTTCCCCATAGGCATCAATGGATTCTGAAATGCCCCTTTGCAGATTCTCCAAAATAAGTTTTTCCAACCTGCCTAATCAAAAGAAAGGTTTAACTCGGTGAGATGAATCCACACATCACAAAGCAGTTTCAGAGATAGTTTCTTTCTAGTTTTTATCTGGGGATGTTCAATTTTTCTGCATAGGTCTCAAAGGGCTCCCTAATGTCCATTCACAGATTTTCCAAAAATAGTGTTTCCAACCAGCACAATCAAAAAAAAATGTTTAACTTTGTGAGATGAATCCACACCTCACCAAGCAGTTTCACAGATACCTTCCTTCTAGTTTTTATCTCGGGATATTCTGTGTTTTTCCACAGGTCTCAGAGGGCTTCCAAATGTCCCTTCACGGATTCTTTAAAAAGAGTGTTTCCAACCTCCTAAATCAAAAGAAACATTTAACTCCATGCAATGAATCCACACATCCCAAGGCAGTTTCACAAGTAGCTTCTTTCTAGTTTTTCTCTGGGGATATTCTGTTTTTCCCCACATGCCTCAAGGGGTTCCCAAATATCCCTTCACAGATACTTTGAAAAGAGTGTTTCCAACCTGCTGGATTAAAAGAAACGTTGAATTCTGAGAGATGAATCCACACATCACAAAGTAATTTCAAAGATAGCTTGTTTCTAGATTTTATCTGGGGATATTTAGGTTTTTTTTTTGGTAGGCCTCTATGGGCTTCAAAATATCCCTTCACAGATTCTCCAAATAGTGTTTCAAAACTGCTGAATCTACAGAAAGGTTTAACTATGTGAGAGGAATCTACACGTCAAAAAGCACTTTCACAGACAGTTTTGCTTAATTTTTGTCTCTGGATATTCTGTGGTTCTCCACAGGCCTCAGTGGGTTCCCAAGTGTCCCTTGGCAGATACTCCAAAAAGAGTGTTTCTAACATGCTCAATCAAAAGAAAATTTTAAGTCTGTGAGATGAATCCACACATCATAAAGCAGTTTCACAGAGAGTTTCTTTCTAGTTTTTATCTTGGGATAATTTGTCTTTTCCCATAGCTCTCAATAAGTTCCAAATGTCACATAGTAGATTCTAGAAAAAAAGTGTCTCCAACCTGCTAAATCAAAACAAACTTTTAACTCTTTAGATGAATCCACACATCACAAAGCAGATTCACAGATATGTTCACTCTAGTTTTTATCTTGGGATATTAAGTATTTCCCCATAGAGCTCAATGGGTTCCCAATTGTTTCTTCAACGATTCTGCAAAAAGAGTGTTTCCAACCTGTGGAATCAAATGCATGGTTTAACTCTGAGATGAATCCACACATCACAAAGCATTTTCACAAATAAATAGCTTCTTTCTGGTTTTTATTTGGGGATATTCATTTTTTCTCAATAGGCCTCAAAGGGCTCTGAAATGTCCCTTCATAGATTCTACAAAAATAGTGTTTCCAAACTGCTGAATCAAAAGAAAATTTTACCTCTGTGAGATGTATCCAGACATCAGAAAGCAGTTTCATAGATTGTTTCTTTCTGGTGTTTATTGGTGGATATTTTGCTCTCCCTAGAGGTATCGAACGGCCCAAATGTCCCTTCACAGATTCTCAAAAAAGAGAGTTTTCCACCTGAAGAATGACGAGAAGATTAAACTCTGTGAGATGAATCCACACAACACAAAGCAGTTTCAAAAATAGCTTCTTTCTAGATTTTATGTGGGGATATCCATTTTTTTCCCATAGGTCTCAATGTGCTGCTTTCTAGCTTTTGTCTGGAAATATTCAGTTTTTCTCCATAGGCCTCCATGGGATCCAAACTGTCCCTTCACAGATACTCCAAAAAGAGTGTTTAAAAGCTGCTGATTCAAAAGAAGGGTTAAACTCTGTGAGAGGAATCCAGAAATCAAAAAGCAGTTTCACAGATAGCTTCTTTCTAGTTTTGATCTGGGAACATTCAATTTTGCCCCATTGTCCTCAAAGGTCTCCCAAATATCCTTTAGCAGATTCTCTTTAAAGAGTTTTTCCAACCTGCTGAATCAGGAGAAATGTTTAACTCTGTGAGATGAATTCACATATCACAAAGCAGTTTCACAGATAACTCCTATCTACTTTTTATTTGCAAATATTCAGTTTTTCCCCATAAGCCCCAATGGGCTCCCAAATGTCTCTTCATGGATTCATTAAAAAGAATGTTTCCAACAAGCTGAATCAAAAGAAATGTATAACTCTGTGTGATGAATTCACACATCTTATAGCAGTTTTACAGACAGCTTCTTTCTAGTTTTTATCTTGGGACATTCAATTTTGCCACCTAGGCCTCAATGGGCTTAAAAATGTCTTTTTGCAGATTCTGCAAAAATAGCATTTTCAACCTAATTAATCAAAGGAAACTTTAAACTCTGTGAGATGAATCCACACATCACAAGCAGTTTCACACATAGCTTCTTTCTAGTTTTCATCTGGAGATGTTCAGTTTTTCCCCATAGGCCTCAAAGGGCTACCAAATGTCCCTTTGCAGATTCTCCAAAAAAAGTGTTTAGAACTGGATGAATGAAAAGAAAGGTTTAACTCTGTGAGATGAATCCACACATCACAAAGCAGTTTAGCATATAGCTTCTTTCTAGTTTTTATATGGGTATGTTCAATTTTTCCCCTTAGGCCTCAAAGGGCTCCCAAATGTCCATTCACAGATTTTCCAAAAATAGCGTTTCCAACCAGCTGAATCAAAAAAAAGTTTAACTTTGTGAGATTAATCCACACCTCACAAAGCAGTTTCACAGATACCTCCCTTCTAGTTCTTATCTCGTGATATTTGGTGTTTTCCCACAGGTCCCAGAGGGCTCCTAATTGTCCCTTTGCAGATTCTTTAAAAAGAGTGTTTCCAACCTGCTGAATCAAAAGAATGGTTTAACTCTCTGAGATGAATCCACACATCATAAATAAGTTTTATGAATTATTTCTTTCTAGTATTTGTCTAGGGATATTTTGTGTTTCCCCATAGACGTCAATGGGCCCTGAAATGACCCTACACAGATCCTCCAAGAAGACTGTTTCCAAACTGCTGAATCAAAAGAAAGGTTTAACTCTGTGACAAGAATCCACACATCACAAAGACGTTTCAAAGATAGGCACTTTCTAGTTTTTATCTGGTGTTTTTTTTCATTGGCCTCAATGGGCTCCCAAATATCCCTTCACAGATTCTCCAAAAAGAGTGTTTCCTACCTGGGGAATTAAAAGATTGATTTAAATCTGTGAGATGAATCCATGTATCACAAACACTTTCACAGATAGCTTCTTTCTAGTTTTCATCTAAGGATATTTGATTTTTATCCATATGCCTCAATGGGCTCTCAAATGTCTCTATGCAGATTCTCCAAAAAGAGTGTTTCCTACTTTCTGAATCAAAAGAAAGTTTTAACTCTGTGAGATAAATTCACACTTAAAAATCTGTTTCATAGATAACTTCTGCCTAGTTTTTTTGGAGGGGATTTTTGGTTTTGCACCATAGGCCTCAATGTGCTCCCAAATGTCCCTTTGGAGATTCTCGGAAAAGAGTTTTTTCAACCTGCTGAATCAAAAGAAACATTTAGCTCTGTGAGATGAATCCACACTTCAAAGAGCAGTGTCACATATAGCTTCTTTCAATTTCTACCTGGGGATATTCTGTTTTTCCTGAAAGGCCACAATGGGCTCTGAAATGTCTTTCTGCAGATGCTCCAAAAAGAGTGTTTCCGACCTGCTGAATCAAAGGAAAGTTTTAACTCTGTGAGATGGATCCGCACATCACAAATCAGTTTCACAGATAGCTTCTTTCTAGTTTTTATCTGGAGATATTTCCTTTTTCCATATAGGTCTCAATGGGCTCCGAAATGTTCCTTCACAGATTCTCCAAAAGGAGTGTTTCCAACCTGCTGAATCAAAGGTACACTTTCACTCTGTGAGGTGAATTCACACATCACAAAGCAGTTTCACAGATAGCTTTTTTCTACTTTCTATCTGGGGAAATCTGGTTTTTCCCCATAGGCCTCAAAGGGCTCTCAAATGTTCCTTCAAAGATACTTCAAAAAGAGTGTTTCCAACCTGCTGGATCAACAGAAAGGCTTAACTCTTTGAGATGAATTCACACATCACAAAGCTGTTTCACAAATAGCTTCTTTCTAATTTTTTCTCAGTGTTCATTTTTTCCACATAGGCCTCAATGGGCACCTAAATGTCCATTCTCAGATTCTCCAAGAAAAGTGTTTTGAACCTGCTGAATCAAAAGAAAGTTTTAACTCTCTGAGATGAATCCACACATCCCAAAGCAGGATCACTATCAGCTTCTTTCTAGTTTTTATATGGGGATATTCGTTTTTTCCCAACAGGCCTCAATGGGCTCCAAAATGTCACTTTGCAGATTCTCCAAAAACAGTGTTTCCTATCGGCTGAATCAAAAGAAAAGTTTTACTCTGTGAGAAGAATCCACACATTAAAAATCTATTTCACATATAGGTTATTTGTAGTTTTTTTTTTTTTTTTTTTTTGGTAGGGGGGATATTCAGTTTTGCCCAATAGGCCTCAATATGCTCCCCAAAGTCCCTTCAGAGATTCAGGGAGAAGAGTTTTTCAACCTGCTGAATCAATAGAAAAGTTTAACTCTGAGAGATGAATCCACACTTCAAAAGCAGTTTCACAGATAGCTTCTTTCTAGTTTCTATCTGGGGATATTCTGTTTTTCCTGACAGACTACAATGGGTTCCAAAATATCTTTTCACAGATGCTCAAAAAGGAGTGTTTCCAACCTGCTGAATCAAAGGAAATTTTTAACTCTGTGAGACGAATCCACACATGATGAAGCATTTTCAAAGATAGCTTCTTTCTTCTTTTTATTTTGGGATATTCAGTTTTACCCCATAGGCTCCAATGGGCTTTCAAATGTCCCTTCACAGATACTCCAAAAAGAGAGTTTCCTACCTGCTGAATCAAAAGAAAGTTTTAAGTCTGTGAGAGGAAATCTCATATCACAAAGCAGTTTCACAAATAACTTCTTTCCAGTTTTTATCTGGGGATAGTTTTTTTCCCATAAACTTCAATGTGCTTTTCACAGCTGATCCAAAAACAGTGTTTCCAACCTGCTGCATAAAAAGAAATGTTAAACACTGTGAGATGAATACACAAATCACAAAGGAGTTTTACAGATAGCTTCTTTCTGGTTTTTATATAAGGATATTTTTTTTTCCCATAAGCCTCAGTTGAGTCCCAATTGTCAGGTTGTAGATTCACCAAAAAGAGTGTTTCTAAGCTTCTGAATAAAAAGAAAGGTTTAACTCTGTGATATGAATCCACCCATCACAAAGCAGTTTCACAGATAGCTTCTATTTCATTTTTTTCTGGGGATATTCAGTTTTACTGCACAGGACTTAAAGGGCTCCAAAATGTCTTTTTGCAGATTCTGCAAAAAGAATGTTTCCAACCTACTGAATCAAAAGAAAGGTTTAACTATGGTAGATGAATCCACACTTCAGAAAGCAGTGTCACAGATAGCTTCTTTTTAGTTTTTTCTGGGGACTATTGGTTTTTACTTGTAGGTCTTAATGGGCTTCCAGGAGTGCCTTCATGGATTTTACAAAAAGAGTGTTTCCAACCTGCTGGATCAAAAGTGAGGTTTAACTCTGTGCCATGAATTCACAAATCACAAAGGAATTTCAATGATAGCTTCTTTCTAGTTTTTATCTGGGGATTATTTGTTTTTCCCCATTGGCCTCAATGAGCTCCCAAATGTCCCTTTGCTGATTCTCCAAAAAGAGTTTTTCCAATCTGCTGGATCAAAAGAAAGTTTTAAGTCCGTGAGAAGAATCCACACATCACAAAGCAGTTTCACAGATACGTCCTTCTAGTTTTTGTCTTGGGATATTTGATTTATCCCCTTAGGAGTCAATGTGTTCCTATATGTCCCTTTGCAGATTCTGCAATAACAGTGTTTCCAACCTGCTGTATCAAAAGAAAGGTTCCACTCCATGAGATGAATCCACACATCACAAAGCAGTTACACAGAGAGCTTCTTTCTACTTTTTATCTAGGGATAATCCGTTTTACCCATACGCCTCAAATGGCTTCAAAATGTCCCTTTGCAGATTCTCCAAAATGATTTTTCCAACCTGCTGAATTAAAAGAGATGTTTAACTATGCGAGAAACATCCACACTTCAAAAAGTAGTTTATCAGACAGCTTCTTTCTGGTTTTAATCTGGGGATATTCAGTTTTTCCTATGAGGCCTCCTTGAGCTCCCCAATGTCCCTTCACAAATTCCACAAAAAGAGTATCTCCAGCCTGCTGAATCAAAATTAATGTTTAACTCTGTGAGATGCTTCCACAAATCACAAAGCAGTTTCACAGATAGCTTCTTTCTAGTTTTTATCTGGGGTATTCAGTTTTTCCCCATAAGCCACAATGGCCTCCCAAATGTTTCTTCGCAGATTCTCCAAAAAGAGTGTTTCCATCATGCTGAATCAAGAGAAAAATTTAACTCTGTGAGAAGAATCCACACATCACCAAGCAGTTTCATAGATAGCTTTTTTGTAGTTTTTATCTGGGGATATTAGGTTTTTCCCCATAGGCCTAAATGGTCTCCCAAATGTCCCTTCGCAGATATTCCAAGAAGAGTGTTTCCAACCTGCTGAATAAAAATAAATGTTTGATGTTTTGAGATGAATCCACACATCACAAAGCCGTTTCACAGATAACTTCTTTCTAGTTTTTATATGAGCATATTCAGTTTTTTCATATAGACCTCAGTATGCTCCCAAATGTCCCTCGCAGTTTCTCCAGAAAGAGTGTTTCCAACATGCAGAATCAAAAGAAAGGTTTAACTCTGTGAGATAAATCCACGCAATACAAAGCAGCTTCACAGATAGCTTCCTGCTGGTTTTTATCTGGGGACATTCAATTTTTACCCATGGGCCATAAAGGGATCACAAATTTCCATTCACAGATTTTCCAGGAAGTGTGTTTCCAACCTGCTAGTTCCAAAGAAAGTTTTAACTCTGTGAGATGAATCCACACATCACAAAGCAGTTTTGCAGATATATTCTTTCTAATTTTTTCTGGGGATATTCTGTTTTTCCCATAGGCTGCAATGAACTTCCAAATGTTTCTTCGCCGATAGTCAAAGAAGAGCGTTTCCAACCTGCTGAATCAAAATAAAGATTTAACTCAGTGAGATGCATCCACAAATCACAAAGCAGTTTCACAGATATTTTCTTTCTAATTTTTATCTGGGGATATTCTGTTTTTATCTACAGGCCTCAGAGGACTCCAAAATGTCCCTCTACAGATTCTCCAGAAAGAGTGCTTCCAACCTTCTGAATCAAAAGAAAGGTTTAAGTCTGTGAGAAGAATCCCCACATCACAAAGCAGTTTCACATATAACTTCTTTCTAGTTTTTATCTGGGATATTTTGTTTTTCCTCATAGGCCAAAAAGGGCTCCCAAATGTCCCTTCACAGGTTCTTTAAAAAGAGTATTCCCATCCTACTAAGTCAAAAGAAAAGATTACTCCGTGAGATGATTCCACATCTCACAATAAAGTTTTACACAGAGTTTCTTTCCAGTTTTTACCTGGGGATATTTTGTTCTTCCCCATAGCCCTCAATGGGCTCCCACAGGTCCCTTAACAAATTCTCCAAAAATAGTGTTTCAAACCTGATGAATCAATAGAAAGGTTTAATTCTGTGAGAGGAATCCACACATCACAAATAAGTTTCACAGATATTTCCATTCTTGTTTTTATCTGGGCATGTTCTGTATTTTTCCATAGGCCTCAATGGCTCCCAAATGTCCCTTCACAGATTATCCAATAAGGGTGTTTCAAACCTGCAGAATCAAAAGAAAGTTTTAACACTGTGAGATGAATCCTCACATTGCAAAGCAGTTTCACAGATAGCATCTTTCTAGTTTTTATCTGGGGATAGTCGGTATTGTCCCATAGGCCTAAATAGGCTCCCAAATGTCCCATTGCAGATTCTCCAAAAAGAGTGTTTCCAACCTGCTGAATCAATAGAAAGGTTTAACTCTTTGAGATGAATCCACACATCAGAAAGAAGATATGAAGAGAGCTTCTTTCTACTTTTTCTCTAAAGATATTTCATTTTCCCCCATAGGGCTAAATGGGCTCCCAAACGATTCTTCAAAAGTTCTCCAAAAAAGTGTTTCCAATCTACTGAATAAAAACAAAGGTTTATCTCTGTAAGATGGAAACACACATCAGAAAGCATTTTTACAGATAGCTTGTTTCTAGTTTTTTTTTTTCTGTTTTCTTCCATAGGCCTCAATGGGCTCCGAAATGTCCCTTTGAATATTTGCCAAAAAGAGAGCTTCCAACCTACTGAGTCAACAGAAAGATTTAACTGTGCGATGAACCCACTCATCACTAAGCCGTTTCACAGATAGCTTCTCTCTTGTTTTTATCTGGGGTAATTGGTTTTTATTTAATTAGGCTACAATGGGTCCCCAAATGTCCCTTTGCCAATTTTCCAAAAAGGGTGTTCTCAACCAGGTGAAGCCAAAAAAAATTTTAACTCTGTGAGATGAATCCACGTATCACAAAGCATTTTCACATATAACTTCCTTATACTTTTTATCTGGGGATATTCTGTTATGTCACCTAGGAATCAATGGGCTTTCAAATATTTCTTCACAGATTCTCCAAAAAAAGTGTTTCCAACCTGATGAATCAATAGAAAGGTTTAGCTGTGGCAGATGAATTTACATATCACAAAGTAGTTTCACAGATAGGTTCTTTCTAGTTTTTCTTTAGGGATAATCTGTTTTTCCCCAGAGGCCTCAATGGGCCCCCAAAGTCTCTTCAAACATTCTCCAAAAAGCTTGTTTCCTACCTGCTAAATGAAAAGAAATGTTTAACTGTCTGAGATGAATCCACACATCACAAAGCAGTTTCATAGATAGCTACTTTCTAGTTTTTATCTAGGGATATTTGGTTTTTACCCACAGCTCTCAATGGGCTCCCAAACTTCTCTTCAGAGATTCTCTAAAAAGAGTGTTTCCAATCTGCGGAATCAAAATAAAGGTTGAACTCTGTGAGATGAATCTACACACCATAAAGCAGTTTCACAGAGAGCTTCTTTCTAGTTTTTGTCTGGGCATATTCTGTTTTTCCCCATAGGCCTGAAAGGACTCCAAATGTCTCTTCACAGGTTCTACAAAGAGTGTTTCCAACATGCTGAATCAAAAGAAAGGTTTAACATTTTGAGGTGAATCTACACATCAGAAAGCCGTTTCACAGATAGCCTCTTTCTAGTTTTTGTCTGGGGATAATTTGTTTTTCCACAGAGACCTCAATAAGTTTTCCCAAAGAAAGATTTAACCCTGTGAGATAAATTCACACAACATAAAGCCATTTCATAGATATCTTCTTACTAGTCTTTAACTGGGGTATTAGATTTTTACCCATAGGCCAAAATGGGCTCCCAAAAGTTCATTTGCAGATTCTACAAACAGAGTGTTTCCAATATGCTGGATGAAAAGAAAAGTTCATCTCTATGAGCTCAATTCTTCCATCACAGAGGAGTTTCACATATAGCTTTTTTCTAGTGTTTATCTGGGGATATTAGTTTTTTTCACTTAAGTGTATATGGGCTCCCAAGTTTCCCTTCGCAGATTCTCCAAGAGTGTTTCCAACCTGCTGGATAAAAAACTTTTAACACTGTGAGATGAAGCCACATATCACAAAACAGTTTTACAGATTGATTCTTTCTAATTTTTATCTGGGGATATTCAGTTTTTTCCCATAGGCCTCTATGGGCTTCCAAATGTTTCTTTGCAGAGTCTCCACAAAGAGTGTTTCAAACCTGCTGAATCAAAAGACATGTTTAACACTCTGAGATGAATCTACACATCAGAAAGCAGTTTCACAGATAGCTTCTTTCTAGTTTTTCCAAAAATAGTGTTTCCATCTTGCTGAATCAAAAGAATGGATTAACTCCTTGAGATGAATTCACACATCACAATGAATTTTCACAAATAGCTTCTTTCTACTTTTTATCTGGGGATATTCAGTTCTTCCAATAATCTCCAATGAGCTTCCAAATATCCCTTTGCAGACTACAAAAAAAGTGATTCTAACCTGCTGAATGAAAACTAACTTTTAACTCTGTAAGATGAATCCACACATCACAAAGATGTTTCACAGATAGTCTCTTTCTAATTTTTATCTGGAGATTTTCTGTTTTTCCACAGAGGCTTCAATGGGCTCCCAAACATCCCTTCACAGAGTCTCCAAAAACAGTTTGTTCAACCTGATGAATCAAAAGAAAGGTTTAACTCTGTGAGATGAATCCACACATCACAGAGCAGTTTCACAGATAGTTTCTTTTTATTTTTTATCTGGGAAGATCCTTGGTTTTTTTTTTATGTGCCTCTGTGGGCTTCTATATATGTTTACACAGATTCTCCAATTAAAGAATTTCCAACCTGCTGGATCAAAATAAATGTTTAACCCTGTGATATGAATCCACACAACACCAAGCACTTTCACATATGACTTCTTTTTGGTTTTTAACTTGGAATTTTTTTTACCCATGGGGCTCAAAGGTCTACCAAATGTCCCATCACAGATTCTACAAAAAGTGTTCCCAACCACCTGGATCACCAGAAATTTTTATCTCTCTGCCATCTATCCATACATCAAAAAAACAGTTTCTTAGATAGCTTCTTTCTAGATTTTATCTGGGGATGTTTCGTTTTTCCCAAAAGCCCACAATGGGCTCCCGAACGCCCTTTCACAGATTCTCCAAAAAGAATGTTTCCAGCTTGCTGAATCAAAAGAAAAGTTTAACCATGTGAGATGAATCCACATATCACAAAGCTGTTTCAAAGATAGTGTCTTTCTAGTTTTTATCTGAAATATTCAGTTTAGCCCCACAACTTTCAATGTGCTCCCAAATGTCCCCTCACAAATTCTCCAAAATGAGTATTTGCAACCTGCTTAATCAAGAGAAAGGTTTAAATCTGTGAGATGAATCCTCACATCACAAAGCTATTTCACTGACGGTTTCTTTATACTTTTCATCTGAATATATTCAGTTTTTCCCCCAGGTTTCAATGAGCTCACAAATGTCATTTTGCAGATCCTGCAATTAGAGTGTTTCCAACCTTCTGAAACAAAACAAGTGTTTAACTCTGTGAGATGAATCCAAAATCACAAAGAAGTTTCACAGATATAATCTCTGTAGTTCTTATGACGGGATGATCTCTTTTTCCCCACAGGCCTCAATCAGCTCCGAAATGTCCCTTCGCAGTTTCTGCAAAACAGTATTTCCAACCTGCTGAATCAACAGAAAGGTTTTACTCTGTGAGATGAAACCATAGGTCACAAAGCCATTTCACAGAAAGCTTCTTTCTAGTTTTTAGCTGGGGATATTTGGGTTTTTTCCCACAGGCCTCAATGGGCTCCCAAATGTCTTTTCATAGATTATCCAAAAACAGCATTTCCAACCTGCAGAAACAAAAGAAAGGTTTAATTCTGTGACATGAATCCACATAGCACAAAGCAGTTTCACAGAGGAATTCTTTCTAGTTTTTATCTGGGGATATTTGGTTTTGCCACAGAGGTCTCAAGGGGCTTTCAAATGTCCCTTCACAGATTCTCTAAAAAAGGTGATTCCAACCTGTTGAATCAATAGAAAGTTTTAACTTTGGGAGACGGATATAAACATCACAAAGAAGTTTCACAGTTAGATACTTTCTAGTTTTTCTTTAGGTATAATCAGATTTTCCCCATATGCCTCAAAGGGCCCCCACACATCCTTTCTAACATTCTCCAAAAACAGTGTTTCCAACCTGCTGAATCAAATGAAGGGTTAACTCTGTGAGACAAATCCACACATCACAAAGCAGTTTCACAGAAATCTTCTTTCTAGTTTTTATCTGGGGATATTGTGTTTTTCCCCGTAGGCCTCAATGGGCTCCCAAATGTCCCTTCACAGATTCTCCAAAAACAGTCTTTCCAACCCCCTGAATCATAAGAAAAATTTAATTCTGTGAGATGAATCCACAAATCATGAGGCAGTTTCACAGATAGCTTCTTTCTAGTTTTCAATTTGGGATACTCAGTTTTTACCCATAGGCCTCAAAGGGCTCCCAAATATCTCTTTGCAGATACCACTAAAAGAGTGTTTCCAACCTGCCTGATGAAAGGAAAGGTTTAAATCTGTGAGATCAATCCAACATCACAGAACAGTTTCAAATACAATTTGTTTCTAGTTTTATCTGGGGATATTAAGCTTCTCTCCATAGTTCACAACAGGCTCCCAAACGTCCCTTCACAGATACTCTAAAAAGAGTGTTTTCTACCTATGGATTCAAAAGAAAGGATTAACTCTGTGAGTTGAATCCACACATCACAAATCAGTTTCACAGATAGCTTCTGTCTAGTTTTTATCTAGGAATATTTTGTTTCTCCACATTGGCCTCAGTGGGCTCCAAAATTTTCCCTCACAGATTCTCCAAAAATAATGTTTCCAACCTGTTGAATCAAGATAAAGGTTTAACTTTGTGAGAAGAAGCCACACATCACAAAGCAATTTCACAGATAGCTTCTTTCTAGTTTTTATCTGTCGATTTTTGCTTCTTCTTCATAAGCCTATGGGCTCCTAAGTGTCCCTTCGCATATTCTCCAAATAGAGTGTTTTCAACCAAATACACCAAAATAAATGTTTAACTGTGTGAGATAAATTTACACATCAAAAAGCAATTTCACTGATAGTTTCTTTCTTGTTTTTATCTGAGAATATTCAATTTTCCCAAATTGGCCTCAATGGGCTCCCACATGATCTTTTGAAGATTATCAAAAAGAGTGTTTCCAACCTGCCGAATCAAAATAAAGATTTAACTCTGAGAGATGAATCTACACACCACAAAACAGTTTCACAGATAGCTTCTTTCTAGTCTTTATATGGGGACATTCTGTTTTACCCCATAGGCATCATGGGCTCCGAAATGTTCTTTTGAAGATTCTACAAAAATAGAGTTTCCAACCTGTTGAATCAAAATAAAGGTTTCATTCTGTGAGATAAGTTGACACATCACCATGCAGTTTCACAGATAACTTCTTTCTCGTTTTGATCTGGGGATATTCTGTTTTTCCCCATAGATCTCAATGGGCTCCCAAATATCCCTTTGCAGACTATGCGAATTTTCAATCTGCTAAATCAAAATAAAGGTTTAACTTTGTGAGAAGAAACCACACATCTCAAAGCAGTTTCACAGATAGCTTCTTTCTAGTTTTTATCTGGGTATATTTGGATTTACCCCATAGGCCTCAATGGTCTCCAAAATATCCCTCACAGATTGTCCATAAAGAGTGCTTCCAACCAGTTGAATCAAAACAAAGGTTTAACTCTGTGAGATGAATCCACACATCAAAAAGGAGTTTCACAGATAGCTTCTTTGTAGTTTTTATGTCTGGATTTTCGGTTTTTTTCCCTTAGGCCTCATTAGGCTCCCAATTGTCACTTCGAAGATTCTCCAAAAAGAGTGTTTCCAACCTGCTGAATCAAAAGAAATGTTTAACTCTGTAAGAATAATCCAAACACCACAAAGCAGTTTTAGAAGTAGCTTCCTTCTCATTTTTATCTGTGGATATTTGGGTTTGCCCCGTTGGAACTAATGGTCTCTTAAGTGTTCTTGTGCAGATTTTCCAAAAAGAATGTTTCCAACATTCTGAATCAAAAGAAAGGTTAAACTCTGTGAGGTGAATCCACACATCATGAAGCAGTTTCAAAGACAGGTTCTTTCTAGTTTTTATCTGGGGATATTCTGTTTGTCTCCATAGGCCTCAATGGGCTCCAAAATGTCCTTTCACAGACTGTCCTAAAAGAGTGTTTCCCACCTGTTGAATCAAAAGAATGGTTTAACTTTGTGAGCTGAATCCACACACCACAAGGCAGTTTCACAGATGATAGCCTCTTTCTCGTTTTTATCTGTGGATATTTTATTTTTCCCCATCTGCCTCAATGGGTTTCAAAATGTCCTCTCACAGATTCTACTGAAAGAGTTTTAACAAACTGCTTAATCAAAAGAAAGGTTTAACTCTCTGTGATGAATCCACACGTCACAAAGCAGTTTCACAGATAGCTTCTTTCTAGTTTTTATCTGCGTATATTCGGTTTTTCCTTTAGGCCTCATTGAGCTCTCAAATTTCCCTTTGCAGGTTCTCCAAAAAGACTGTTTCCAATCTGCTGAATCAAAAAAAAGGTTTAACTCTGCAGGATGAATCCACACATCACAAAGCACTTTCACAGACAGACTCTTTCTACTTTTTATCTGAGGATATTTGGTTTTTCCCCATAGGCCCCAAATGGCTCCCAAATGTCCTTTTGCAGATTCTACTAGAAGAGTGTTTCCATTCTGCTGAATCAGAGGAAAGGTTTAACTCTGTAGATAAATCCACACATCACAAAGAAGTTTCACAGATAACTTCTTTCTACTTTCATCTGGGGATATTCAGTTTTTCTGCATAGGCCTTATGGGCTTCGAAATGTTCCTGTGCAGAATCTCCAAAAGGAGTGTTTCCAATCTGCAGGATCAAAAGAAGGGTTTAAATCTGTGAGCTCAATCCTCACATGACAAAACCGTTTCACAGACAGCTCCTTTCTAGGTTTTATCTGGGGATATTCAGTTTTTCTCCATAGATTTCAATAGTTTCCCAAATATCCCTTCACAGATTCTCTAAAAATAGTGTTTCCAACCTGCTGAATCAAGAGAAAGGTTTAACTCTGTGAGATGAATCCACACATCAAAAAGCAGTTTCACAGATATCTTCTTTCTAGTCTCTATCTGGGGATATTTAGTTTTTTCCAATAGGCCTCAATGGGTTCCCAAATATTGTTTTGCAGGTTCTCCAAAAACAGTGTTTCTGATCTGATGAATCAAAAAACGCTTTAACTCGGTGAGATGAATCTACACAACACAAAGCAACTTCTCCGATAGCTTCTTTCTAGTTTTCTTCTGGGGATATTCAGTTTTCCCCATAGGCCTCAATGGATTTCCAAATGTGCGTTCATCAATTCTCCAAAAAGAATGTTTCCAACCTGCTGGATCAAAAGAAAAGTTTACCTATCAGAGATTAATCCACACATCACAAAAGAGTTTCACAGATAGCTCCTTTTAAGTTTTTATCTGGAATAATAATTTTGTTTTTCCCCTTAGGTCTCAATAAGTTCCCAAATGTCCTTTTGCAGATTTTCTACAAATGGTGTTTTCGACCTGCTGCATCAAAAGAAATCTTTAACTCTGTGAGATGAATCTACACATCATAAAGAAGTTTCACAGATAGCTTCTTTCTAGTTTTTATCTGGTGATATTTGGTTTTTAAACATAGGCCTCACTAGGCTCCCGAATATTTCTTTGCATATCCTATAAAAAGAGTATTTCCAACCTCCTGAATAAAAGAAAGGTTTAACTCTGTGAGATGAATTCACACATCACAAAGCAGTTTCACAGATAGATTCTCTCTAGTTTTTATCTTTCATTATTTTATTCTCAAAAAGGGCTTCAGTGGGCTCCCAAAGATTCTTTTGAAAATTCTCCAAGAAGAGTGTTTCCAATCTCCTGAATCAAAACAAAGGTAAAACTCTGTGAGATCAACTCACACATCACAAAGCAGTTGCAAAGATAATTTCTTTCTAGTTTTTATTTGGGGATATTCAATTTTTCCCGATAGTCCTCAATGGGCTCCTAAATGTCCTTTCGCAGATTCTCCAAAAAGAGTGTTTCCAACTTGCTGAATCAAAAGACAGGTTTATTTCTGTGGGATGAATCCACATATCCCAAAGCACCTTCACAGAAAGCTCCTTTCTAGTTTTTATCTGGGATAAAACTAGTTTTATCTAGTTTTATGGGGATATTCATTTTTTCCCCATAGGTCTCAATGGGCTCACAAATGTCCCTTAACGGTTTCTCTACAAATAATTTCTCCAACCTGCTGATTCAAAGGAAAGGTTTAACTCTGTGAGATGAATTCACACATCACAAAGCTGTTTCCCAGATAGCTTATTTCTAGTTTTCTTCTGGGGATATTTGATTTTTACTTACAGGCCCCAATGGGCTCCCAAACATTCCTTCACAGAATCTACAAAAAGTTTTTCCAACCTGCTGGATCAAAACGAAGGTTTAACTCTGTGAGTTGAATTTACTCATCACCAAGCAATTTCACAGACCTCTTCTTTCTAGTTTTTGTTTTATTTGGCAATATTCTGTTTTTCCAAATTGGCTTCAATGGGCTTCCAAACGTTCTTTCAAAGATTCTCTAAAAAGGGTGTTTCCAACCTGCCGAATGAAAAGAAATGTTTAACTCTGTGAGATGAATCCACACATCACCATGCAGCTTCACACATAGCTTCATTCTAGTTTTTTTCAGGGAATATTTGGTTTTTCCAAACAGGCCTCAATACGTTCCCAAATTGTCCCCTGGCAGATTCTACAAAAAGATTGTTTCCAACCTGCAGGATGAAAAGAAATGTTTAACTCTGTGAGGTGAGTCCACACATCATAAAGCAGTTTCACATACAGCTTCTTTCTAGTTTTTATATGAGGATATTCAGTTTTTCTCCATTAGTCTCAATGTTCTTCCAAATGTCCCTTCACAGATTCTCTAAAAATAGTGTTTCCAACAGGCTGAATGAAAAGTAAGGTTTGACTCTGTGAGGTGATTCACCACATTACAAAGCAGTTTCACAGATAGCTTCTTTCTAGCTTTTGTGTGGTGATATTCAGATTATTTTTACAGGTTTCAGTGGTCTCCTAAATGTCCCTTCACAGATTCTCCAAGAAACAGTGTTTCCAAGCTGCTGTATAAAACCAAAGTTTATGTATGTGAGATGAATCCACACGTCACAAAGCAGTTACAGTGATAGCTTCTTTGTAGTATTCATCTGGGGATATTCTGTTTTTTCCTTTCACTCTCAATGGGTTCCCAAAAGTTTCTTTGCAGGACATCCAAAAAAAGTGCTTCCAACATTCTGAATCAAAAGAAAGGTTTACTCTGTGAGATTAATCCAGACATCACAAAGTAGTGTCATAGAAATATTCTTTCTATTTTTTATACGGGCATATTCATTTTTTTCCATAGTCCTCTAAGGGCTTCCAAATGTCTCTTTGGAGATTCCACAAAAAGAGTATTTCCAACCTGTTATACAAAACAAAAGATTTAAGTATGTGAGATGAATCCACACATAAAAAAGCATTTCACAGCTAGCTTCTTTCTAGTTTTTATATGGGGCTATTTGGTTTTTACTTAAAGATCACAATGGGCTCCCAAATTTCCCTTCCCAGATTCTAAAGAAAGAGTGTTTGCAAGCTGCTGAATCAAGAGAAAGGTTTATCTCTGGTAGATAAATCCACACATCACAAAGCACTTTCAGAGATGGCATATTTCTTCTTTTTATGTAAAGATGTTCAGTTTTTTCCCACAGGACTCAATTCACTCCAAAATGTCCCTTCTCAGACTCTACAAAAAGAGTGTATCCAACCTGCTGGATATAAAGAAAGTTTTAACTGTATGATATGAATCCACACATCACATCAGTTTCACAGATAGCTTCTTTCTAGTTTTTAGGTGAGGATATTCTCTTTTTCCTATAGGCTTCAATAGGATTTTGAATGTTCCTTTGCAGATTCTCCAGAAAGATTCTTTCCAACCTGCTGAATCAAAGCAAAGTTTTAATTCTGTGAGATGAATTCACACATCACAAAGCAATGCACATATAGCTTCTTTCTAGTCTTTATCTGGGGATATTCAGTTTTTATTTATAGACCTCAATGGGCTACAAAATATTTCTTTGAATATCTACAAAAAGTGTGTTTCCAACCTGTTGGATCAAAAGAAAGGTTTAACTCTGTGAGATGAATCCACACATCACAAATCAGTTTCACAAATAGCTTCATTCTAGTTTTTATTTAGGGATATTCTGTTTTTCCCCTTAGGACTCAATGAGTTCCATAATATCATTTTGCAGATTCTTCAGAAAGAGTGTTTCCAACCTGCTCAATGAAAAAAAAGGTTTAACTCTTTGAGATGAATCCACAAATCACAAAGCATTTTCACAGATACTTTCTTTCTTTTTATGTGGGGATGTTCCACATTATTCTGTAGGCTTAAATGGGCTTACAAGTGTCCATTCGCAAATTCTACAAAAAAATATATCCAACGTGCTGAATCAAAATAAAGTTTTAACTCTTTGAAATGAATCCACACATCAAAAAACAGTTTCTCAGATAGCTTCTTCCAAGTTTATATGGGGATATTCGTTTTTTCCCCAAATCCTCAATGGGCTCCCAAATGTCTCCTCAACAGATCCTCCAAAAAGAGTGTTTCCAACCTGCTGGATATAATGAAGTTTAACTCTGTGAGATTAATCCATGCATCACAAAGCAGTTTCACAAATAGCTTCTTTCTGGTTTTTATTTTTGGATATTCGGTTTTTCCCCAAAGGCCTCAATGGGATCTCAAATGTCCCTTCACAGATCCTACAAAAAGAGTGTTTCCAACCAGTTGAATAAAAAAAAGGTTTAACCCTGTGAGATGAATCCACACATCACAAAGCACTTTCACAGGTAGAGTCTTTGTTCTTTTTAAGTAGGGATGTTCAGCTTTATCCCATAAGCTTCAATGGGCTCAAATATGTCCAATTGCAAACTTCACAAAAAAAGTATTTCCAACCTGCTGAATCAAAAGAAAGTTTTAACACTTTGACGTGAATCCACACATCACAGAGCAGTTTCACTTATATCTTCTTTCTAGATTTTATCTGAAGATAGTCAGTTTTTCCCCAAAGGCCTCAAATGGCTCCAAATTGTCACTTCACAGATTCTCCATAGTGTTTCCAACCAACTGGATATAACGAAAAGGTTAATTCTTTGAGATTAATCCACACAGAACAAAGCAGTTTCACAGATAGCTTCATTCTAGTTTTTATCTGGGGATATTTTGTTTTTCCAAATAGGCCTCAATAAGCTCCAAAAGTCCACTCACAGATTCTTCAAAACAGTATTTCCAGGCTGCTGAAGCAAAAGGAAGGTTTAACTCTATGAGATGAATCCACACATCACAAAAGAGTTTACCAGATATCTTCTTTTTCCTTTTATCTTGGCCCATTGAATTTCTCCACATAGGCCTCAATGGGCTTCCAAATGTCCCTTCACAGATTACAGAAAAAGAGTGTTAACAACTGGTTGAATCTAAAGAAATTTTCAAATCTATGAGATTAATCCACACATCAAAAAGCAGTTTCCCAGATAACATCTTTCTAGTTCTTATCTGGGGATATTCAGTGTTTATGCTTAGGCCTCTATGGGCTCTTCAATTTCCCTCCTCATGTTCTCCAAAAACAGTGTCTTTAACCAGTTGGATCAAAAGAAAAGTTTATATTTGTGAGATGAATTCACACATTCCAAAGAAGTTTCACAGATAGCTTCTTTCTCGTTTTTATCTGGGGATACCCCACAAAGGCCTCTTTGAGCACTTAAATGTCCCTTCACAAATTCTCCAACAAGAGTGGTTCCAAGAGTGATTCACTCCAACAACAGTGAATCAGAAGAGAGGTTTAACGCTCTGAGATGAATCCACAAATTGCAAAGCATTTTCACAGATAGTTTCTTTCTAGTATTTGTCTGGGGATATTCGTTTTTTTTTTTCCAAAAACCTCAATGGGCTCCCAAATGTTCCTTCACAAATTCTCCAAGAAGAGTGTTTCCAAACTGCTGAATCAAAAGAACAATTGAACTATGTGAGAGATATCCACACATCCCAATGCAGTTTCACAGATAGTTTTATTTTCCTTTTTTTCTTGGGATATTCTTTTCTTCCCCATAGGTTATAACAGTTACAAAATGTCCCTTTGCAGATTCTGCAAAACGAATGTTTCCAGCCTGTTGAAACAAAAGAATATTCAGTTTTATTCATAGGCCTCATTGGACTCCCAATTAAAAGAAAAGTTTAACTCTATGAAATGAATCCACTCATCAGAAAACCATTTCACAGATAGTTTCTTTGAGTTTTTTGGGGGGTGTATTTTTTTCCCCCATAGGCCTCAATGGGGTCCCAAATGCCCCTTCACAGATTCTCGAAAAAGAATGTATCCAACCTCCTAATCAAAAGAAAGTTTTAACTCTGTGAGATGAATCCACAAATTACAAAGCAGTTTCACAGATAGCTTCTTTCTAGTTTTTATTTGGGGATATTCCAGATTTCCCCATAGGCCTCAATGGGATCCCAAATGTACCTTCACAGATTCTTCAAAAACAATATTTCCAACCTGAAGAATTGAAAGAAACATTTAACTCTGTGTGATGAATCCACACATCGCAAAGCAGTTTCACAGATAACTTCTTTCTGGATGTTATCTGTGGATATTCAGTTTGTCTTTGTAAGTAACAATGGGCTCTGAAATGTCCCTTCACAGATTCTCCAAAAAGAGTTTCCAATATGCTGAAAAAAAAAGAATGGTTTAACTCTGTGAAATGTATACACACATCACAGAGCAGTTTCAAAGATAGCTTCTTTCTCATTTTTATCTAGGGATATTCAGATTTTCTCCATAGTCCTCAAAGGGCTCTCATATGTTTCTTCACAGATTAACCAAAAAGAATGTTTCCAACCTGGTGAATGAAAAGCGAGGTTTACCTCTGTGAGATAAATCCTCACATCACAAAACAGTTTTACAGGTAGCTATTTTGTAGTTCTTATTTGTGTATATTCTGTTTTTCCTCATTGGTCTAATTAGACTCCCAAATGTCCTTTCGAAGATTCTACAAAAGCTGTGTTTCCAACCTGCTGAATCAAAAGAAAGTTGGAAACCTGTGAGATGAATCCACACATCACAAAACGGTTTCACTGATAGCTTCTTTCTAGTTTTTTCTGGGTATATGTGGTTTTTCCCCATAGGCCTCAAAGGGGTCTCAAATGTCACTTTGCACATTATCCAAAAAGAGTGTTTCCAACCTGCTGAATCAAATGAAAGGTTTAACTCTGTGACATGAATTCACACATCAGAAAACAGTTTCACAGAGAGCTTCTTTATAGTGCTTATCTGGGGATATTTTCTTTTTCCTTATTGACCTCAAAGGGCCCTTAAATGGCCCTTTACAGATTCTCCAAAAAAAAACGGTTTCCAATTGGCTAAATAAAAAGAAAGGTTTAACTCTGTGAAATGAATCATTACATCTCCAAGCAGTTTCACAGATAGCTTCTTTCAAGTTTTCATCTGGGGATAATCGGTTTTTCCCCATAGGCCTTAAAGTGCTCCCAAATATCCCTTCACAGATTCTTCAAAAGAACTGTTTCCAACCCTGCTGAATCAAAAGAAAGTTTTAATTTTTGAGTTTAATCTACACATCACAAAGCAGTTTCACAGATAGTTTATTTCTAGTTTTTAATTGGGTATATTCAGTATTTCTCCATAGGCCTGAATATGCTTCAAAATTTCCCTTTGCAGATTCTCCAATAAGAGTGTTTAAAAACTGCTGAATCAAAAAAATGGTTTAACTCTGTGAGATTATTCCAAACATATAAATAAGTTACACAGATAGCTTCTTTCTAGTTTTTATCTAGGGATATTCAGTTTTTTTCAATAGACCTCAATGGAAGCTCAAATATTTCCCCACAGATTTTCCAAAAAGAGTGTTTCCAACATGATAAATTGAAAGAAAGATTTAACTCTGTGAGATGAATCCACACATCTCAAATCTGTTTCACAGATAGCTTTTTTCAAGTTTTTAACTGGAGATATTCATATTTTCCTCATAGGCCTCAATGGTCTCCCAAATGTCCCTTCGAAGATTCTCCAAAAATAATGTTTCCAACATGCTGAATCACAAGAAATGTTTAACTCTAAGATGAACCCACACATCATAAAGCAGTTTCACAGATAGCTTCTTTCCAGTTTTTTTTTTTTTCGAGAATATTCAGTTTTTTTTCCATAGACCTCAATGGACTAAAGATTTTCCCTTTCCAGATTCTCAGAAAGGGGGTTTCCAAGCTGCTGAACCAACAGAAAGTTTTAACTTTGTGAGTTGAATCCATACATGAGAAAGTAATTTCACAGATAACATCTTTATAGTTTTTATTTGGGGATACTCTGTTTTTTTTCATATAGGCCTCAATGTACTCCAAAATCTTTCTTTGCAGATTCTTCAAAAACTGCGTTTCCAACCTGCTGAAGCAAAAGAAAGTTTTATCTTCGTGAAATGAATCCACACATCACAAAGTGGTTTCTCAGATAGCTTCTTTTACTATTTATCTGAGGATATTCGGTTTTTCCCCATAGGGCTCTAAGGGCTCCCAAATGTTACTTTGCAGATTCTACAAAAACACTGTTTCCAACCAGCTGAATCTAAAGAAAGTTGTAGTTCTGTGAGATAAATCCACACATCACAAAGCAGTTTCACAGATTGCTTCTTTCTAGTTTTTATCTAGGGTATTAATTTTTTTGATCTAGGTCTTATCGACCACTCAGATGTCCCTTCACAGAGTCTCTAAAAAGAGTGTTTCCAACGTGATGAACCAAAAGCAAGTTTTAACACTGTGAGATGAATCCACACATCACAAAGCATTTTCATAGATAGCTTCTTTCTAGTTTTTATCTGAGAGTATTCCGTTTTGCCCATAAACCACAATGGGATCCCAAATCTCTCATCTCAGATTCTCCAAAAAGAGTGTTTCCAACCTGCTGAGTCAAAAAGGAAAGGTTTAACTCTGTGAGATGAATCCACAAGTTACAATGCAGTTTCACACATAGCTTCTTTCTAGTTTTTTTTGGGGGGGGAGGGGGGAGATATTCTGTTTTTCCCCATAGTTCTCAATAATATCCAAAATGTCCATTCGCAGATTCTACAAAAGGAGTGTATTCAACCTGCTTAATCAATAGAAACGTTTACCTCTGTGAGAAGAATCCATACGTCACAAAGCAATTTCATGCATAGCTTCTTCTTAGTTTTTTTTTAAGGGTATTCAGTTTGTCCCCATAGGCCCATATAGGCTCCAAAATGTCCCTTTGCAGATTTTCCAAAAAGAGTGTTTCCAACCTGCTAAATCAAGAGAAAGATTTAGCTCTGTGAGATGAATCCACACATCTCAAAGCAGATTCACAGATAGCTTCTTTCTAGTTTTTATCTGGGGATATTCACATTTTGCCATAGGCCACAATGGGCTCCAAAATGTCCCTTTGCAGATTCTCCCAAGCAGTGATTCCAACCTCCTGAATCAAAAGAAAGGTTTAACTCTGTGATGTGAATCCACACATCAGAAAATGATTTCATGAATTGTGTCTTTCTAGTTTTTATCTGGGGATATTCAGGTTTTTTTTGATTTAGGCCTCATCGTGCACAAAAATGTCCCTTCACAGATTCTCTAAAAAGAGTGCTTCCTATGAGATGAATAAAAAAAAAGGCTTAACATTATGAGATAAATCCACACATCACAAAGCAGTTCCACAGATGTCTTCTTTCTAGTTTTTATATGATAGTATTCCGTTTTACCACCTAAACCAAAATTGGATCCCAAATGTCCCTCTGCAGATTCTCCAAAAACAGTGTTTCCAACCTGCTGAATCAAAAGAAATGTTTCACTCTGTAAGATGAATCCACACATTACAAAGCATTTTCACAGACAGTTTCTTCCTCATTTTTTTCTGGGGATATTTTGTTTTTCCCCATAGTTCTAATAAGCTCCCAAATATCCCTTCACAGAATCTACATAAGGAGTGTTTCCAACCTGCTGAATCAAATAGAAATATTTAACTGTGAGATGAATTCACACATCACAAAGTAATTTCATGGATAGCTTCTTCCTAGTTTTTATCTGAGAATATTCACTTTTTCCCCAAGGGCCCATATGGGCTCACAAGTGTCCCTTCACATACTCTGTATAAAGAGTGTTTCCAACTTGCTGAATCAAAAGAAAGGTTGAGCTCTGTGATATGAATCCACACATCTCAAAGTGGCTTCACAGATAGTTTCTTTCTAGTTTTCATCTGGGGATATTCTGTTTTTCCCCATAGACCACAATGAGCACCTAAATGTCCCTTTGTAGATTCTCCAAAAAGAGTGATTCCAATGTGCCGAATCAAAAGAAAGGTATAACAGTGTTAGATGAATCCATACATCCTGAAGCAGTTTCACAGATAGTGTCTTTCTAGTTTTTAACTAGGGATATTCCGTTTTTCCCCATAGTCCTCAATAAGCTGCCAAATGTCCCTTTGCAGATTCTATAAAGGAGATTTTACAAGGTGTTGAATCAAAAGAAAGATTTAAATCTGTGAGATGAATCCACACATCACAAAGAAGTTTTAAATAGTGCTTTTTCTAGTTTTTATCTGAGAATATTCTGTTTTTCCCCAATGCTCTCAGTGGGCTCCCAAATTTCTCTTCAGAGATTCTACAAAAAAAAAAAAGTGTTACAAACCTGCTGAATCAAAAGAAAAGAAGTTTAAATCTGTGAGATGAATCCAAACATCACAAAGCAGTTTCACAGAGAGTTTCTTTGTAGTTTTTATCTGGGAATATTCAGTTTTTCCCCTATGCTTCAATGGGCTCCCAAAGATCCTCTCACATATTCTATACAAAGACTGTTTCCAACTTGCTGAATCAAAACAAAGCTTTACCTCTGTGAGGTGAATCCACACATCACAAAGTGGATTCAAGGATAACTTCTGTCTAGTTTTTATCTGGGGATATTCAGTTTATCCCCACAAGCCTCAAAGGGCTCATAAATGTCACTTCACATATTCCACAATAAGAGTGTTTCCAACCTGCTTGAACAAGAGAAAGGTTCAACTCTGTGAGATGAATCCACACATCACAACGCAGTTTCATGAATAACTTCTTTATAGTTCTTACCTGGGAATATTCAGGTTTTCCCCATAGACCCCAATTGCCTCTAAAATGGCCCTTTGCAGTTTCTAGAAAAGGAGTGATTCCAGCATACTGACTCAAAAAGAGCTTTAACTCTGTGAGATGAACCCACACATCCCAAAGCATTTTCACAGATAGATTTTTTCTAGCTCTTATCTTTGGATATTTGGTTTTTCCCTTAAC